>NC_000004.12:130436532-130739562 GCF_000001405.40 Homo sapiens
ATCTTATTTTGAAACATGACTTATTTTTAAATATGAGTAAGGGAAAACTAAACAGAAAAATTACATCCAAATTTGAGTTATTAGATAAAGGAAACAAGTAAAACATTACAAAATTTGAAATAAATTAAAGTATGTGGAAATGAGAAAAAAATATATTTTTGTACTGCTATAGGGGTTTCCCCTGAACACAATATTTTTCTATAAGTCTTGTATATTATTGTTCACATTATCAACACGACAAGTCTACCATTACTTAGGGATCAGAGAGATGATATTATCTTTTTCTTTTTCTTTTTTTATTATTACACTTTAAGTTATAGGGTACATCATGTGCACAATGTGTAGGTTTGTTACATAGATATACATGTGCCACGTTGGTTTGCTGCACCCATCAACTCGTCATTTATATTAGGTATTTCTCCTAATGCTATCCCTCCCCCAGCCCCCCTCCCCCTGCCAGGCCCTGGTGTGTGATGTTCCCCACCCTGTGTCCATGTGTTCTCGTTGTTCAACTCCCACTTATGAGTGAGAACATGCTGTCTTTGGTTTTCTGTCCTTGTGATAGTTTGCTGAGAATGATAGTTTCCAGCTTCATCCATGTCCCTGCAAAGGGCATGAACTCATCCTTTTTTATGGCTGCATAGTGTTCCATGTGTATATGTGCCACATTTTCTTAACCCAGTCTATCATTGATGGACATTTGGGTTGGTTCCAAGTCTTTCCTATTGTGAATAGTGTCGCAATAATAGTGTCACACACATACTTGTGCATGTTCTTTATAGTAGCATGATTTATAATCCTTTGGGTATATACCCAGTAATGGGATTGCTGGGTCAAATGGTATTTCTAGTTCTAGATCCTTGAGGAATCACCACACTGTTTTCCACAATGGTTGAACTAATTTACACTCCCACCAACAGTGTAAAGCGTTCTTATTTCTCCACATTCTCTCCAGCACCTGTTGTTTCCTGACTTTTTAATGATTGCCATTCTAACTGGCGTGAGATGGTATTTCATTGTGGTTTTGATTTTGCATTTTTCTGAGGACCAGTGATGATGACCATATTTTCATATGTCTGTTGGCAGCATAAGTGTCTTCTTTTGAGAAGTGTCTGTTCATATCCTTTGCCCACTTTTCGATGAGATTTTTTTTTCTTGTAAATTTGTTTAAGTCCTTTGTAGATTCTAGATATTAGCCCTTTGTCAGATGGGTAGATTGCAAAAATTTTCTCTCATTCTGTAGGTTGCCTGTTCACTCTGATGATAGTTTCTTTTCCTGTGCAGAAGCTCTTTAGTTTAATTAGATCCCATTTGTCTATTTTGGTGTTTGTCGCCATTGCTTTTGGTGTTTTAGTCATGAAGTTTTTGCCCATGCCTGTGTCCTGAATGGTATTGCCTAGGTTTTCTACTGGGGTTTTTATGATGTTAGGTCTTGAATTTAAGTCTTTGATCCGTCTTGAGTTAGTTTTTGCATATGGTGTAAGGAAGTGATCCAGTTTCAGCTTTCTACTTATGGCTAGCCAGTTTTCCCAGCACCATTTATTAAATAGGGAATCCTTTCCCCATTGCTTGTTTTTCTCAGGTTTATCAAAGATCAGATGGTTGTAGATGTGTGGTGTTATTTCTGAGGCCTCTATTCTGTTCCATTGGTCTATATATCTGTTTTGGTACCAGTACCATGCTGTTTTGGTTACTGTATCCTTGTAGTATAGTTTGAAGTCAGGTAACATGATGCCTCCAGCTTTGTTCTTTTTGCTTAGGGTTGTCTTGGCTATGCAGGCTCTGTTTTTGGTTCCATATGAACTTTAAAGTAGTTTTTTTTCCAATTCTGTGAAGAAAGTCAGTGGTAGCTAGATGGGGATTGCATTGAATCTATAAATTACCTTGGGCAGTATGGCCACTTTTATGAAATTGATTCTTCCTATCCAAGAGCATGGATTCGTCTTCCATTTGTTTGTGTCCTCTTTTATTTTGATGAGCAGTGGTTTGTAGTTCTCCTTGTAGAAGTCCTTCACATCTCATGTAAGTTGGATTCCTAGGTATTTTATCCTCTTTGTAGTAATCACGAATGGAAGTTCACTCATTATTTTGCTCTCTGTTTGTCTACTGTTGGTGCATAGGAATGCTTGTGACTTTTGCACATTGATTTTGTATCCTGAGACTTTGCTGAAGTTGCTTATCAGCTTAAGGAGATTTTGGGCTGAGTCGATGGGGTTTTCTAAATATACAATCATGTCATCTGGAAACAGAGACTATTTGACTTCCTCTTTTCCTAATTGAATACCCTTTTTTCTTTCTCTTGCCTGATTGCCCTGTCCAGAACTTCTAACACCATGCTGGAGAGAAGTGGTGAGAGAGGGCATCCTTGTCCTGTGCTGCTTTTCAAAGAGAATTCCTCCAGTTTTTGCCCATTCAGTATGATATTGGCTGTGGGTTTGTCATAAATAGCTCTTATTATTTTGAGATACGTTCTATCAATACCTAGTTTATTGAGAGTTTTTAGCATGAAGGGCTGTTGCATTGTGCCGAAGGCCTTTTCTGCATCTATTGAGATACTCATGTGGTTTTTGTCATTGGTTCTGTTTATGTGATGCATTACGTTTATTGATTTGCATATGGTGAACTAGCCTTGCATCCTAGGGATGGAGCCAACGTGATCATGGTGGATAAGCTTTTGGATGTGCTGCTGGATTTTGGTTTGCTGGTATTTTATTGAGGATTTTGCATCAGTGTTTATCAGGGATATTGGCCTAAAATTATCTCTCTCTCTTTTTTTTTTTTTCTTTGTCGTGTGTCTACCAGGCTTTGATATCAGGATGATGGTAGCCTCATAAAATGAGTTAGGGAGGACACTCTCTTTTTCTATTGATTGAAATAGTTTCAGAAGGAATAGTACAAGCTCCTCTTTGTACCTCTGGTAGAATTCGGCTATGAATCTGTCTGGTCCTGGATTTTTTTGGTTGGTAGGCTATTAATTATTGCCTCAATTTCATAATCTGTTATAGGTCTATTCAGAGATTCAACTTCTTCCTGGTTTAGTCTTGGTAGGGTGTATGTGTCCAGGAATTTATCCATTTCTTCTAGATTTTCTAGTTTATTCGCATGGAGGTGTTTATAGTATTCTCTGATGGTAGTTTGTATTTCTGTGGGATCGTTGGTGATAGCCCCTTTATCATTTTTTATTGTGTCTATTTGATTCTTCTCCTTTTCTTCCTTATTAGTTTTGCTAGAGGTCTATCTATTTTGTTGATCTTTTCAAAAAAAATAAACAGCTCCTGGATTCATTGATTTTTTGAAGGGTTTTTTGTGTCTCTATCTCCTTCAGTTCTGCTCTGATCTTAGTTATTTCTTTCCTTCTGCTAGCTTTTGAATGTGTTTGCTCTTGCTTCTCTAGTTCTTTTAATTGTGATGTTGGGGTGTCGATTTTAGATCTTTCCTGCTTTCTCTTGTGGGCATTTAGTGCTACAAATTTCCCTCGACACACTGCTTTAAATGTGTCCCATACATTCTGGTATGCTCTGTCTTTGTTCTCATTGGTTTCAAAGAACATCTTTATTTCTGCCTTAATATTGTTATTTTCCCAGTAGTCATTCATAAGCAGGTTGTTCAATTTCCATGTAGTTGTGTGGTTTTGAGTGAGTTTCTTAATCCTGAGTTCTAATTTGATTGCCCTGTGGTCTGAGAGACAGTTTGTTGTGATTTCTGTTCTTTTACATTTGCCGAGGAGTGTTTACAACCAATTATGTGGTCAATTTTAGAATAAGTGTGATGTGGTACTGAGAAGAACGTATATTCTGTTGATTTCAGGTGGAGAATTCTGTACATGTCTATTATGTCTGCTTGGTCCAGGGCTGAGTTCAAGTCCTAGTTATCCTTGTTAACCTTCTGTCTCGTTGATTTGTCTAATATTGACAGTGGGGTGTTAAATCTCCCATTACTATCATGTGGGAGTCAAAGTCTCTACGTAGGTCTCTAAGGACTTGTTTTATGAATCTGGATGCTCCTGTATTGGTTGCATATATATTTAGGGCAGTTAGCTCTTCTGGGTGAATTGATCCCTTTACCATCATGTATTGGCCTTCGTTGTCTCTTTTGATCATTGTTGGTTTAAAGTCTGTTTTATCAGATATTAGGATTGCAACTTCTGCTTTTTTTTTTTTTTTTTTTTGCTTTCCATTGGCTTGGTGGATCTTCCTCAATCCCTTTATTTTGACCCTATGTGCGCCTTTGCACATGAGATGGGTCTTGTCTCTTTATCCAATTTGCCAGCCTGTGTCTTTTAATAGAGGTATTTAGCCCAGTTCTTTTAATAGAGGTATTTAGCCCATTTGCATTTAAGGTTAATATTGTTATGTGTGAATTTGATCCTGTCATTATGATGTTAGCTGGTTATTTTGCCCGTTAGTTGATGCAGTTTCTTCATAGTGTTGATGGTCTTTACAATTTGGTATGTTTTTGCAGTGGCTGGTACTGGTTTTTCCTTTCCATATTTAGTGCTTCCTTCAGGAGCTCTTGTAAGGCAGGCCTCGTGGTGACAAAATCTCTCAGCATTTGCTTGTCCGTAAAGGATTTTATTTCTCCTTCACTTATGAAGCTTAGTTTGGCTGAATATGAGATTCTGGGTTGAAAATTCTTTTCTTTAACAATGTTGAATATTGGCCCCCACTCTCTTCTTCTGGCTTGTAGGGTTCCTGCCAAGAGATCCACTGTAAGTCTGATGGGCTTCCCTTTGTGGGTAACCCAACCTTTCTCTTTGGCTGCCCTTAACATTTTTTCCTTCATTTCAACCTTGGTGAATCTGACAATTATGTGTCTTGGGGTTGCTCTTCTCGAGGAGTACCTTTGTGGTGTTCTCTGTATTTCCTGAATTTGAATGTTGGCCTGCCTTGCCAGATCAGGGAAGTTCTCCTGGATAATATCCTGCAAAGTGTTTTCTAACTTGGTTCCATTCTCCTTGTCACTTTCCGGTACACCAATCAAACGTAAATTTGATCTTTCCACATAGTCCCATATATCTTGGAGGCTTTATTGATTTTTTTTGACTTTTTTTCTCCAATCTTGTCTTCTTGCTTTATTTCATTAATTTGATCTTCAATGACTGATATCCTCTCTTCCACTTGATCGATTGGCTATTGGAGCTTGTGAATGCATCACAAAGTTCTCGTGCCATGGTTTTCAGCTCCATCAGCTCATTTAAGGTCTTCCCTACAATGTTGATTATTGTTACCCATTCATCTAACCTTTTTTCAAGGTTTTTGGCTTCCTTGTGATAGGTTAGAACATGCTCCTTTAGCTCAGAGAAGTTTGTTATGACCAACCTTCTGAAGCCTACTTCTGTCAACTCGTCAAACTCATTATCCATTCAGTTTTGTTCTCTTGCTAGCAAGGAGCTGAGATCCTTTGGAGGAGAAGAGGTGCTCTGTTTTTTGGAATTTTCAGCTTTTCTGCTCTGGGTTCTCCCTATCTTTGTGGTTTTATCTACCTTTGGTCTTTGATGTTGGTGACCTACTGTTGGGATTTTGGTGTGGATGTCCTTTTTGTTGATGTTGATGGTATTCCTTTCTGTTTGTTAGTTTTCCTTCTAGCAGTCAGACCCCTCAGCAGCTGGTCTGTTGGGGTTTGCTAGAGGTCCACTCCAGACCCTGTTTGCCTGGATATCACCAGCAGGGGCTGCAGATCAGCAAATATTGCTGCCTGATCCTTCCTCTGGAAGCTTCATCCCAGAGGGGTACCCGCCTGTTTCAGGTGTCTGTCAGCCACTACTGGGCAGTGTTTCCCAGTCAGGCTACACAGGAGTCAGGGACCTGCTTGAGGAGGCAGTCTGTCCATTCTCAGAGCTTGAACACCATGCTGAGAGAACCACTGTTCTCTTCAGTGCTGTCAGACAGGGACATTTAAGTCTGCAGAAGCTGTCTGCTGCCTTTTGTTCTATTATGCCCTGCCATCAGAGGTGGAATCTATAGAGACATTAGGCCTTGCTGAGCTGTGGTGGGATCCACCCAGTTCGTGCTTCCAGGCCTCTTTGTTTACACCCTGAGCTACTGAAGCCTCAGCAATGGCTGACGCCTCTCCCCATGCCAGGCTGCAGCCTTGCAGTTCAATCTCAGACTGCTGCACTAGAAATGAGCAAGCCTCCATGGGTGTGTGACCCACCAAGCTAGGCATGGGAAGGTACCTCCTGGTCTGCCGGTTGCTAAGACTATGGGAAAAGCACTGTATTCAATCTGGAGTGTACCGTATCTCCAGATACAGTCTGTCATGGCTTCCCTTAGCTAGGAAAGAAAAATCTCCTGATGTCTTGCGCTTCCCAGATGAGGTGATGCCCTGCCCTGCTTCAGCTTGCCCTCCATGGGCTGCACCCACTGTCCAACTAGTCCCAGTGAGATGAACCAGGTACCTCAGTTGGAAATGCAGAAATCAACCGTCTTGTGTGTCAATCTCGTTGGGAGCTGTAGACCGGAGCTGTTCCTATTCAGCCATCTTGGAAGTGACCCCTACCAATATTATCGTTTTCTATTTAAAGAAAACCATGTCGTTGGGGTGATGGCTCACACCTGTAATCCAAGTGCTTTGGGAGGCCGAAGAGAGTGGATCACTTGAAGTCAGGAGTTCAAGACCAACCTGGCCAACATGGCAAAACCCCATATCTACTACAAATACAAAAATTACCCAGGCGTGGTGGCAGATGCCTGTAATCCCAGCTACTCTGGAGGCTGAGGCAGGAGAATTGCTTGAACCAGGGAGGCAGATGTTTCAGTGAGCCGAGATTGTGCCACTGCACTCCAGATTGGGTGACAGAGCAAGACTCTGTTTCAAAAAAAGGAAGAAAACCATGTGATACTTTTAGCTTAGGCTACATGATTAAAATGAAATAAATTTATAGGAGATAAAAAAGTACTTTAGGGTTTTAAAACATTTCCTTTAAGAATTCAAAGAATATAAATAAATAATATAATTTTATAATACCTCTTAATGGACAGATAAAATTTTATGAATTTGGTTTGTAAAGCATGATGTTTTGAAGTATATATGCATTATGGAAGAACCAAATCCAGCTAATTAATATATGCATTGTCTCATATATTAATATATTTTTGTGGTGAGAGACTTCACATCCACTGTCTTAGCATTTTTAAAGAATACAACGTATTGTTAACTATGGTCACATATTGTTATACAATAGAAGTCTTTCATTTATTCCTCATAAGTGAAATTTTATATACTTTGACAAGGATAATATATGGCTTTTATTGTGTTGCAGTACATTCATTCTATCCCAAATTGTTGATTTTTTTATTGTGAAAAATGTTGACTTTTTTCATTTTTTTGCATCTATTAAGAATACTAGGCATTACCATTCAGGACATAGGCATGGGCAAGGACTTCATGTCTAAAACACCAAAAGCAATGGCAACAAAAGCCAAAATTGACAAATGGGATCTAATTAAACTAAAGAGCTTCTGCACAGCAAAAGAAACTACCATCAGAGTGAACAGGCAACCTACAAAATGGGAGAAAATTTTCGCAACCTACTCATCTGACAAAGGGCTAATATCCAGAATCTACAATGAACTCAAACAAATTTACAAGAAAAAAACAAACAACGCATCAAAAAGTGGGCGAAGGACATGAACAGACACTTCTCAAAAGAAGACATTTATGCAGCCAAAAAACACATGAAAAAATGCTCACCATCACTGGCCATCAGAGAAATGCAAATCAAAACCACAATGAGATACCATCTCACACCAGTTAGAATGTCAATCATTAAAAAGTCAGGAAACAACAGGTGCTGGAGAGGATGTGGAGAAATAGGAACACTTTTACACTATTGGTGGGACTGTAAACTAGTTCAACCATTGTGGAAGTCAGTGTGGCGATTCCTCAGGGATCTAGAACTAGAAATACCATTTGACCCGGCCATCCCATTACTGGGTATATACCCAAAGGACTCTAAATCATGCTGCTATAAAGACACCTGCACACGTATGTTTATTGCGGCACTATTCACAATAGCAAAGACTTGGAACCAACCCAAATGTCCAACAATGATAGACTGGATTAAGAAAATGTGGCACATATACACCATGGAATACTATGCAGCCATAAAAAATGATGAGTTCATGTCCTTTGTAGGCACATGGATGAAACTGGAAATCATCATTCTCAGTAAACTATCGCAAGAACAAAAAACCAAACACTGCATATTCTCACTCATAGGTGGGAATTGAACAATGAGAACACATGGACACATGAAGGGGAACATGACACTCTGGGGACTGTTGTGGGGTGGGGGTAGGGAGGAGGGATAGCTTTAGGAGATATACCTAATGCTTAATGACGAGTTAATGGGTGCAGCACACCAGCATGGCACATATATACATATGTAACTAACCTGCACATTGTGCACATGTACCCTAAAACTTAAAGTATAATAATAATAAAATAAAATAAAAAAATAAAAAAAGAATATTATATGATTTTATACTTCATTTGGTTAATGTGGTATTTCACATTTATTGATTTGTGTCTGCTGTGCCATCATTGCCTCCCAGGGATACATTCTACTTGATCATGGTGAATGATATTTTTAATGTGCTGGTAAATTTGTTTTTTTTTTTTTTTTTTTTTTTTTGAGACAGAGTCTCACTCTGTCACCCCAGCTGGAGTGCAGTGGCGCGATCTTGGCTCACTGCAAGCTCCACCTCCCAGGTTCATACCATTCTCCTGCCTCAGCCTCCCGAGGAACTGGGACTACAGGTGCCCCCCACCATGCCTGGCTAATTTTTTTGCATTTTTAGTAGAGATGGGGTTTCACCATGTTAGCCAGGATCTCATGACCTCATGATCAGCCCACCTTGGCTTCCCAAAGTTCTGGGATTACAGGTGTGAGCCACTGAGCCCAGCCACAAATTTGATTTTGTTGAAGATTTTTCAATCTATGGTCATTAGCAATACTTGCCTTTAGGTTTTTTGTTTGTTTGTTTTTGTTTTTTTTTCTTGTGATATCTTTGTCTGTCTTTGGTATAAGGGTAGTGCTGGCCTTATAAAATGAGTCTGAAAGTATTTTCTCTTCTTCAATGTTTTGAATGATTTTGAGAAGAATTGTTAATAATTCTTTAAATGGTAAGATTCAGCACTGAATTCATTAGGTCTAGGCTTTCTCTTAATGGTTGACTTTTTATTACTGATTGAATCTCCTTTTTTATTCTTGGTCTGTTCAGGATTTTTATTCTTTATAATTTAATCTTGGCAGGTTATATTTGCCAAGGGATTTATTCTTTTCTTCTAGATTATCTAATTTGGGGGCCTATTATTATTTATAGTCTTTTATGATCCTTTATATTTCTGTGGTATCAGTTATAATGGCTCATTTTTCATCTTCCTTATTGGGTCTTCTCTCATTTCTTACATAGGTAAAGGTTGGTTGATTTTGTTTATCTTTTAAAAAAATCAGTTTTATTATTTTTTCTATTATTTTTTCTAGTTTTCATTTTGTTAATTTCTGCACTGATATTTGCTATTTCCTTTCTCCTGCTAACTTTGGGCTCATTTTGTCCTTGTTATTCCAGTTCCTTGAGGTGCAACATTAAATTGTTTATTTGAGAACTTTCTTTGTAATTTGATGTGTTTATTGCCATTCACTTCCCTCTTAGAACTGCCTTTGCTTTATGCCATAAGTTTTGTTATGTTGTATTTTCATTTCATTTGTTTGGATAAATTTTTACATTATTGTTTCAATTTCTTAATTGACTTATTGGGTATACAGAGTATGTTGTTTTATTTCCATGTATTTGTGAATCTTTTAATGTGTCTACTGGTAAGGTGGTGATTAACTCTCCTAGCTTTTGTTAGGAAAAGACTTTATCTGTCTTTCATTTCTAAAGGATAATTTTGTTGTGTATAATATTCTCAGTTGGCAGCTTTTTCTTTTTTCTCCATTAGCACTTTGAATATATTACCCCAATCTCTCCTGGCCTGTTAGGCTTCTGCTGAGAGGTCTGCTGCTAGCCTTTTTTCAAAACTCTTTTATATGTTATTTGCTTCTTTTCTCATGCTGCTTTTAGGATCTTCTCTTTTTCTTTGGTTGTTGACAGTTTGATTGCAATGTGTCACAGTGTAGTCTTGTTTGTATTGAATCTGATGGGAGAGATTTTCTTTTCTATATCAGAGTATTTACATTTTTTCTAAGTTTGGAAAGTATTTTGCTACTATTTTTTAAATAATATTTCCACTCCTTCATGTTTTTTTCTTATTTTTAAATTCCTATGACTTAAAAATTTGCTCTTTTGATACCACCTCATGAATCTCATATGCTTTCTTTACTCATTTTCATTATTTTTTTTCTACCCTGGCTTTATTTTAAAATAATTTGTCTTTGAGTTTACAAATTATTTCTTCTTCTTTAATTCTGCTATTGATACTCTCCATGACAATTTTGGTTTTGCACTTTTATTTATTTCACTGTATTTTTAAGCTCCAGGGCTGATGCTTAATTTTTAAAAATTATTATTTCAGGCTAGGCATGGTGGTTCAGACCTGTAATCCCAGCATTTTTGGAGGCCAAGGTGGGCGGATCACAAGGTCAGGAGTTCGAGACCAGTCTGGCCAATATGGTGAAATCTCATCTATACCAAAAAAATACAAAAAAAAATTAGCCAGGTGTGGTGGCAGGCACCTGTAATCCCAGGTACTTGGGAGGCTGAGGCAGGAGAATTGCCTGAACCTGGGAGGTGGAGGTTGCATTGAGCTGAGATCATGCCACTGCACTCCAGCCTGGGTGACAGAGTAAGATTCAGTCTGTCTCTCTCTCTCTCTCTCTCTCTCTCTCTCTCTCTATGTGTGTATATATATATATATATACCTATAATTTCAATTTATTAAATTTTCATTCTGCTCACATTGTTTTCTCTTTTTTTTTGAATTTTTCTCTGTATTTCCTTAAAGTTTGCTGGGCTTCCTTAAAACCTTTATTTTAAACACTTTGTCACACAATTCGTACATCTCCATTTATTAGGGTAATTCACTGGCACTTTATTTTGTCCATTTAGTGATGCCATTTTTCCCAGATTGTCCTTGATCCTCGTGAATATGCATCAATGTCTGTATATCTGAAGACAAAGGTGCTTATTTCAGTCATCACAAACTGACTTAGCCTGGGCAAATCCCTTAGCAGTCAGCTTGCCCAAAGATTCTGGGCAGGCTCTTTGGCATAGTTCTTAGCTTGGGGCCCATTGTGGCTGGTGTGGCACTAGGGTGCCCTTGATGCTCAAGATTGCTATGGCCTGCCTGACACTGAGGGCTGTCTGGAACTTGGGGCCTCTGACATTGGCTCAGTGGTGGTATGCATGAGAAATCAAGTCTGCCACACAAGCCAGAAGCTTGGGGTTGTGTGGTCCTACCTGACACTGCAGCAGATCTAGAAGCTCTGTCTATAGGTACTGGCCTGAAACCTGGGGCCATCAGGTTTTTCCAGTTCTGGATATTATTGAGTCAGGTCTGGTGTTCGGGGTCTAACACAGTCCTATGGTTATTGCCTGCTCTTGACCCCAAGCAAGCAATAACTCTCTGCACTGTGCAGCCTTGGTGTCAGAGAGTGGTGACATAAGTAATGTAATACTGTTCTTTCTACTCTCTTCAATGCGTCTTTTCATATTATCATGCTATCAGGTATCATAACCTGAAATCTGTACTTTTTATAGTTCTTGTGAAGGTATTTTTGTTCATGGATAGTTGTTCAAATGGATATTACTTTAGGGATATGATTACTAGAGTGAAGTATTTTGCCATTTTGTTGCCCCTTCCTACTTTTATATAATTTATTATATTAGTCATTTTGCAAGAGAAAAAATGGTCTAAAAATATTCTGGAAAAAAAAAACAGAAAAATGAACTTGTTGGCTATATGAGATGTCTCTTGGTTAATATTCTTAATGTGGTCTATATTCTTAACCTTTGGTCAAGGGACATTGATCTTCTGTTGGTACAGACAAATTACCTTCTTTTCATGCAATATATACATCAGATCCATTATTGTAAAATATGCCTATAATATAAATACCTGTTTCTCCTCTCTCAAGGCCTAAGGGATATGTGTCTCAAATAAATCACTTTGTTCTAGTAACAGTGCTTAAGAGATATCAGAGAGAGAAGCATCTTGCATAACTTTACAGATTCAATAATTGGTCCTTCTGTGACCTTTCAGGTATAAATTTTAAATATTTATAAATGCTAGAGAAAATGCAATATTCTTAATTTTAATTCCTAATTAATGTTGGCTACCATTTTCATCCACTCCAACAAAGCATTAAAAATGGCAAGAAAAAAAGAATATAAGGTCAACTGAAAAAATGTGATGAGCAACAACCCGTGAAATAAGGAGAATACACAAGTGTATCCTCAATGATAGTCACAAAATCAAAATTTTTTGAAGAACTCAGATATGGATTAATGTGAAAAAATTGTTAAAATCACAACAATTGCATTGAAAATTGTAATAAAAATAGCTAAATGAAAGATGTAGAGTCATTTTAGAATCTTTTTTTTTTTTTTTTTTTTTGATACAGAGTCTCACTCTGTAGCCCAAGCTGTAGGGCAACGGTATAATCTCGGCTCACTGAAACCTCCGCCTCTGGGGCTCAAGTGATTCTCGTGCCTCAGCCTCCTGAGTAGCTGGGGTTACAGGCGTGTGCCACCATGCCCAGCTAATTTTTTGTATTTTAGTAGAGACGAGGTTTCACCACGTTGCCCAAGGTGGTCTCAAGCTCCTGAGCTCAGATGATCCACCTACCTCGGCATCCCAAAGTGCTGGGATTACAGGCATGAGCCACCACACCAGGCCTAGAATCTTTTATGAGAAGTCTAGGGTTAGGATGATCTGCCTGCATAAGAGAAATATGAGGGTCCACCTGAAATCTGCATACTGTAATTGAGTGCGACAGTAGTGCTCCATAACACATACTTACTATGTGAGTCACTTTTATAATTCTTGATTCAAAATATAATCTTTTACTCCCCAACTTGGTAACATCTTTAGTGAGAAAAATAGATTGTCTGGTAGAATTCAAGCAACTCTTATGTTACTGGAGCAGTTTTAGACGACATGATTTCCTTGGTGGTGATTTTCTAAGTTTCAGTAACTAAAAATCCATCTTAATATTGAAAAGAACACAAAATTTCTAACTTATCAATTACATTTTTAAAGCAGATACACATATATGCCCACTTAACTAAAGAGTAATATTATCTTACTCCACCTAAAACAGTTGGCCTAAAAATTATGAAATAATTTGCATTATCAATGTTGAACAGAATAAAGGACCAGGCAGTTTTAATATATGCATGGATAAGCTGACTCTTTCAGAAAGGATTTAAAAAAATGTAAACCTTAAGCCATAGATGTGTAAAAGAGCATCAGTGTAAGATTATTACTGGCAATTACATCAGGTGTCTCTGAAGAGTGTTCAGGCACATGCATAGAAATGAATATTATTCTGTCTTTAATTTCTTTGTTAGCATCAACAGCAGGTTGCTTATTTTTAGTTAATTATGAATTGCAAGATAAAGGAAACAGGCATATTTTTTGATAGAAAATGAGATAAAAATCTCATTTTCTATCTGGAAGATTCTGTAATGTGTTATGATTGCTTTCAGGAGCACAACTTGCTGAAATTAAATAAACTGGCTACCAAGAAAACTGGAAAAGTGAGAAAATGTAGGTGCAGGGCATGGAAAGGCTTCCTGAAATTTCTGATTTAGTACAAAACTATATTGCTGTAAGGATGTGTTGTATTGTGTTAACCCATGTGTCCCAAGCAAATAACATACATTTTATTATAAGAAGGACAACTAATGCTTTGTATTACAAGTGGTTTCACAGAATAAATAACATTTGATCTATATAATAATACCATTTAATAATTGTTATTATCATTATTACACAAAACAAGAAGCAGAAGAAGCAGAACTAAAGTGGCAGTATGGAGATTTTTTTCTGTGTGCAAGATCCAGGAACAGAACTCAGGTCTTCTTTAGGTCAAAGCCTTTAAGATTTCTACCGGCTGAGCTTTGAATATAAATTAGAAAAGTTTTATATATTAATGTTTAGAAATATTTGTACAAAACTACATTGTTTTAAAAATTGTATGTAGTGTAGGTGAAAACACTTATAGATGTGAAAATTTGAATAAGATAATGAATATTGTTGAGAACAAATAAAAATACTAAATATTAAATATTACAGGAAAGAATATTATTTGAGAAGAGACAGGATTATAAATTGGCTACACTCATAAAATAAAACCCTCAGAAAACAAAAGAGATTAGAAACACATAATTGGTAGGTGATTTCTGCTATGACAGATCAGGTAAATAAAAAAGATGACTTAAGAAACCTTATATAAAGTTAATTCATAAAGAAACTATATGTATATGTGTGTGTGCCTGTGTGTGTGTGTGAGAGAGAGATCAGAATATCAGAGAATCTCCTTATCTCTTCATAAAATAATGACTTAAGAAACCTTAGAGTCAATTCATAAAGAAGGTATGTGTATGTGTGTGTGTGTATGTGCGTGTGTGTGTGTGTGTGTGTGTGTGTGTGTGTGTATGAAAGAGTGAGAGATCAGAAGATCAGAGAATCTACTTATTTTATTTCCTGGCATCCTTAAGAGAGTTACCCATATATTAGGCTATACAGAGAACCCTAATAAGATTTAAAGTTAACTGACCAAAAGGTCGTAAATAAAATGGAAAGGGGATATGTTAAGGGAGAAAGACTATTTATGAGCTAAATTACGTATATTTATTGATGTGGGTTTCCAGATAATACTTTCATTTTATAAAGTAACCAATATAGATATAAATAGAGCCAATACTCAAGAGACAAATCTTGGCATAACTTCAATACCAGTGTGCAGTCATTTAGATGTGGATGTGCTTTTGGTACATTGGATGTTAAAAATATTAAATATCACCTCAGGTAAGAATGTATTGTTTAAATTATAAAGAACAGACCTAGAATAGTAAATAGAAACAAAGCTCAAGTAGTTACCTCTAAGGAATATTGCTTGTATGAATAATGGGAAAGTAAACATGTTAAAGCAAAAGTTTAAAGAAGGCTGTTTGGAAAGTGTAAAATGGGAATTAATTGTTCAAGTTGGGTTATTGGATCAATGACTTTTTAGAATGTTTTTACAGCAATCTATCCACAAGTTTATAAAAACAAAAGTATGATGGAAAAGTACCAAATGTTATCCTAATAGTAACAAACTGGACCTTATTTCTATTTATCTATTCTAGTTTGTTCTTTATAACTCTAAACAAAAAATTTATATCTCAGGGATCTGTGGAATCATAACAAAAGATATAGCATTAATTCATTGGATTCCTAGAAGAGAGTAGACAGAGGGCAGAGATTAAATAAATGACTTAAATAATGACAAAAAATTTTCTAAATTTGGCAAAAGAGATGAAATGACAGATTGAAGAATCTGACAGAATCTTTCATCCACAAAATACTCAAAGAAACCGATACTAAAGCACATTACAGTCAAAATGCTGAAAAATGAAGATAAGAAAAAATATTTTCAGACAAAAAGAAAGAAACAATCTCTAGCTGATGGGGAAAACAATTCTAATGACAAAATATTTCTTCTGAAAATTCATGGTTACAGCAATAAAGTAGAACAAAATTTTTAAAGTGAAGAAAGAAAAGAATTAACACAATATACTATATCCAGTGAAAGTAGTCTTTAGAAACAAAGGGCAAGTTGAATATTCTTTTTTTTAGTTTTAAGTTCTGGGATACATGTGCACAACATGCGGGTTTGTTACATAGGTATACATATGTGCCATGGTGGTTTGCTGAATCTATCAACCCATCATCTAGGTTTTAAGCCCCATGTGCATTAGGTATTTAGAACAGTCTTAAATGGAGCATTATCACCAGAAGACCAATGATAACAGAATACCTAAAAGAACTCCACATAGAAGGGAAATGATAGATAAAACATCTTGTAATATTAGCAAGAAAGAACGAACAATGGAAAGAGTAGTGATATGGGTAAATACTTTAGGTTCTCATCTTCTCTTGAGCTTTTTAAATTAAGGTCGAGGATTAAAGCACAATTATACCACTAGCTAATTTGCTTCAAATAGGCATAAGAATTATTCTAGATAAATGTAGCATAAATGGAAGTGGCTAAAAGAACATAGAGGAAGGTAAGTTTTTACATTTCCATGAAACTGCTAAAATTATGACACCAAGAGACTGTAATGAGTTTTGTGTATATATTACCTAATCTAAATAAACAACTAAAATAGGAATACAAATACATATCTAAAAACATTACGAGTAAATTAAAATGAAATGCTGAAAAAATTCAGGAAAGACACAAGAATACAGGAAAAAATACACAAAACATAGATTAAAAAGTATACAAAATTAAACAGCAAATTTAAGGCATACATATCAATTGTTGTATTAAATATAAGTGTCCTAGAAACACCAGTGTTAAAAATTAGAAGAATTGATTGAAAACATGACCCAACTATAGGCTGCCCACCCAGAAAAAAATTCAAATGAATTGATGCAGTTATAATGAAAGTAAAAGAATAGAACATGTATTCCATGTAAACAAGAATCAAAAGAAAGAGGAGCAATATTAATATTAGAAAAAATTGAAATCAGAACAAAGAAAAAATTTAAAGAGAGAAAGAGACTTTAAAATGATAAAAAGGTCAATCCATCAAGAACAAATAGCAGTCCTAATGTGTATGCAGTAAGCAGCACATCCACAAATATGAGAAGCAAAAACTTACAGAACTGAAAGAAAAAAATAGACAAATCTCAAATCGTACTTTAGTTACTCTTCATCAGCCCTCTCAATAATTGACAAAACAGGTAGACAGAAGACAGCAAAGAAAGAGAAAAATTCAACATCATCAACAAACAAGTTTTAGTTGACATTTATGCAACTCTTCACCCAACAACAAAATACAAATTTTCAAGTGCTCATAGAACACATACCAAGATTAACAACATTCTGTGTCAGAAAGAAGCCTTAACAAAGTTAAAAGGGTTGAGATAATACAGAATGTATTCTCTGATAAAAAGAAACCAAATTAGAAATTAAAAATAAAAATAACAGGAGAATCTCTCAATACTTGGAAACTAAAAAACAGATTTCTAAATAATCTGAGTCAAAGAAGTCTTAAGCAAAATCCAAATGTGCATTAAACTAGTTAACTACAATATAATATATTTAAATATTTGAACAGCAAAAGCAAGGTTGAGAAGGAAACTGATAGCACTAAATACTTATATAAGAAAAGAGAAAAAGTCTCAGACCAATTATATAAGCTCTAATCTCAAAAATTAGAAAAAGAAAGACAACATAAACCAAAAGAAACAGAGAAAAAATACCTAGATAATAGTAAAAATCAAAGAAATTGAAAACTAAAAAATAGAGAAAAATTGAGGACATGGATAACTGAAAAAAATAGATATAATTAAAACTCTATAACAACACTGGCAAGAGTAAAAAGAAGACACAGATTTTAGTATCAGTAATGACACATGGGATCTCACTACAGACCATGCAGATATCAAACTGTAATAAAGAAATACTATAAATAACTCTATACACATATATTTGACAACTTAGAAAAAAACAATTTCTGAAAAGGCAGAAAATACAACACACCTAATATGAAATAAATAATACAGTAGCAGCGTAATATTAAGGGAATGAATGTATAACTTTAAAACTTCCACACAATACATATTCATAGCTAACTTCTCTAAAACATATTGTCAAATGTTTTATTTTATTTTATTTTTATTTTTACTTGTTTATTTTTGAGACGGAGTCTCGCTCTGTCGCCCAAGCTGGAGTGCGGTGGCGTGATCTCCGCTCACTGCACGCTCCACCTCCCGAGTTCACGCTATTCTCCTGCCTCAGCCTCCAAGTAGCTGGGACTACAGGCGCCCACCACCACGCCTGGCTAATTTTTTGTATTTTTAGTCGAGACGGGGGTTTCACCATGTTAGCCAGGATGGTCTGGATCTCCTGACCTCGTGATCCACCTGTCTCGGCCTCCCAAAGTGCTGGGATTACAGGTGTGAGCCACCATGCCTGGCCTGTCAAATGTTTAAAAGAGAACTAAGACCAATCTTACCCAATCTTTTATAGAGTAAATATGAGGGAATATGACTAGTTTATTTTATGAAGCTAATGTTACCCTGATACCAAAACCAGACAAAGGTACAACAACAACAGAAACATAAATAACTGAAGACCAATATCTATCATGAATGTAGACACAAATCTTTAACGAAATATAAGCAAATGGAATTCTGCAATATATAAAAATAATTATACACTATGATCAAGTGAGGTTTATTCAAGGGAAACACGGCTTTTTAGATATTCTGAATCAATATATCTAATTCACCATATCAACAGGCTAAAGAAGAAAAATTGCATGATCATATCAATTGATGACCTAGTATTTTATAAAATTCAACACTAATTCACAATTTAAAAACTAAGAAAACTAAGAATAAAAGAAACCTTTTTTTAGAGATTATTTGAAGTATATAGGAGGATGTGTGTATGTTATATGGAAGTATTATGACATTTTATTTTTTATTTTTTATTATACTTTAAGTTCTAGGATACATGTGCAGAACGTGCAGGTTTGTTACATAGGTGTACACATGCCATGGTGGTTTGCTGCACCCATCAACCTGTCAACTACATTAGGTATTTCTCCTAATGCTATCCCTCCCCTAGCCCCCCACCCCCCAACAGGCCCCGATGTGTGATGTTCCCCTCTCTGTGTCCATGTGTTCTCATTGTTCAACTCCCACTTATGAGTGAGAACATATGGTGTTTGGTTTTCTGTTCCTGTGTTAGCTTGCTGAGAAAGATGGTTTCCAACTTCATCCATGTCCCTGCAAAGGACATGAATTCATTCTTTTTTCATGGCTGTGTAGTATTCCGTGGTGTATAAGTGCCACATTTTCTTTATCCAGTCTATCATTGATGGACATTTGGGTTGGTTCCAATTCTTTGCTATTGTGAATAATGCTGCAATAAACACATGTGTGCATGTGTCTTTATAGTAGCATGATTTATAATCCTTTGGGTATATACCCAGTAATGGGATTGCTGGGTCAAATGGTATTTCTGGTTCTAGATCCTTGAGGAATCACCACACTATCTTCCACAGTGGTAGAACTAACTTACACTCCCAGCAACAGTGTAAAAGCGTTCCTCTTTCTCCACATCCTCTTCAGCATCTGTTGTTTCCTGACTTTTTAGTGATCACCATTCTAACTGTCCTGGGATGGTATGTCATTGTGGTTTTCACTTGCATTTCTCTAATGATCAGTGATGATGAGCTTTTTCTCATGTTTGTTGGCCACATAAATGCCTTCTTTTGAGAAGTGTCTGTTCACATCCCTCATCCACTTTTTGATGGGACTATTTGTTTTTTTCTTGTAAATTTGTTTAAGTTCCGTGTGGATTCTGGATATTAGCCCTTTATCAGATGGATAGATTGCAAAAATTGTCTCCCATTCTGTAGGCTGCCTGTTAACTCTGATGATAGTTTCTTTTGCTATGCAGAAGCTCTTTAGTTTAATTAGATCCCATTTGTCAATTTTGGCTTTTGTTGCCATTGCTTTTGGTGTTTAGTCATGAAGTTTTTGCCCATGCCTATGTCCTGAATGGTATTGCCTAGGTTTTCTTCTAGAGTTTTTATGGTTTTAGGTCTTACGTAGAGTGATGTCTCCAGCTTTGTTCTTTTTGCTTAGGAATGTCTTGGCTATACATACTGGCTCTTGTTTTGTTCCATATTAAATTTAAAGCATTTTTTTCTAATTCTGAGAAGAAAGTCAATGGTAGGTTGATGAGGATAGCATTGTATCTATAAATTACTTTGGGCAGTATGGCCATTTTCACAGTATCGATTCTTCCTATCCATGAGCATGGAATGGTTTTCCATTTGTTTGTATCCTCTGTTATTTATTTTAGCAGTGGTTTGCAGTTCTCCTTGAAGAGGTCCTTCACATCCCTTGTAAGTTGTATTCCTAGGTATGTTATTCTCTTTGTAGCAATTGTGAATGTGAGTTCACTCATGATTTGGCTCTCTGTTTGTCTATTATTGATGTATAGGAATGCTTGTGATTTTTGCACATTAACTTTGTAACCTGAGACTTTGCTGAAGTTGCTTATCAGCTTAAGGAAATTTTGGGCTGTGAGGATTTTGAGGATTTTTGCATCGATGTTCATTAGGGATATTGGCCTAAAATTTTCCTTTTTTGTTGTGTATCTGCCAGGTTTTCATATCAGGATGATGGTGACCTCATAAAATGAGTTAGAGAGGAGTCACTCTTTTTCTATTGATTGGAATCTTTTCAGAAGGAATGGTACCATCTCTTCTTTGTACCTCTGGGGGAATTCAGCTGTGAATTTGTCTGGTCCTAGGTTTTTTTTTGGTTGGTAGGCTATAAATTACTATCTCAGTTTCAGAACTTGTTATTATTCTATTCTGGGATCTGACTTCTTCCTGGTTTAGTCTTGGGAGGGTGTATATGTCCAGGAATTTTTCTGTTTCTTTTAGATTTTCTAGTTTATTTGCATAGAGGTGTTTAAAGTATTCTGTGATGGTAGTTTGTATTTCTGTGGGATCAGTGGTGATATCCTTTTTAAAATTTTTATTGTATCTGTTGATTCTTCTCTCTTTTCTTCTTTATTAGTCTGGCTAGCAATCTATCTATTTTGTTAATCTTTTCAAAACAACAAGCTTCTGGATTTATTGATTTTTGAAGGGTTTTGCATGTGTCTATCCCCTTCAGTTCTGCTCTGATCTTAGTTATTTCTTGTCTTCTGCTAGCTCTTGAATTTGTTTGCTCTTGCTTCTCTAGTTCTTTCGATTGTGATGTTAAGGTGTCAATTTTAGATCTTTCCCGCTTTCTCCTGTGGACATTTAGTGCCACAAATTTCCCTCTAAACAATGCCTTAGCTGTGTCCCAGAGATTCTGGTACATTATGTCTTTGTTCTCATTGGTTTCAAAGAACTTACTTATTTCTGCCTTAATTTAGTGATTTACCCAGTGGTAATTCAGGAGCAGGTTGTTTAGTTTCTATGTAGTTGTGCAGTTTTGAGTGAGTTTCTTAATCTTGAGTTCTAATTTGATTGCACTGTGGTCTGAGAGACTGTTATGATTTTCAGCCTTTTGCATTTGCTGAGGAATGTTTTACTTCCAATTATGTGGTCAATTTTAGAATAAGTATAATGTGGTGTTGAGAAAATGTATATTCTATTGATTTGGGGTGTAGAGTTCTGTAGATAACATCACACACTGTGGCCTGTTGTGGGTGGGGGCTGGGGGAGGGATACATTAGGAGAAATGCCTAATGTAAATGACGAGTTGATGGGTGCAGCAAACCAATGTGGCACATGTATACCTATGTAACAAACCTGCACATTGTGCACATGCACCCTAGAACTTAAAGTATAATAACAAAAAAAAATTCTGTCTCATTGATATGTCTAATATTGACAGTGGGGTGTTAAAGTCTCCCACTATTATTGTGTGGGAGCCTAAGTTTCTTTGTAGATCTCTAAGAACTTGCTTTACGAATCTGGGTGCACCTGTATTGGGTGCATATATATTTAGGATAGTTAGCTCTTCTTGTTGCATTGATCCCTTTACCATGATGTAATGCCCTTCTTTGTATTTTTTGATCTTTATTGGTTTAAAGTCTGTTTTATCAGAGACTAGGATTGCAACCCCTGCTTTTGCTGCTTTCCATTTGCTTGGTAAATATTCCTCCATCCTTTTATTTTGAGCCTATATGTTTCTTTGCAAGTGAGATGGCTCTCCTGAATACAGCACACCGATGGGTCTTGACTCTTTATCCAATTTGGCAGTCTGTGTCTTTTAATTGGGACATCTAGCCTGATTACATTTAAGGTTAACATTGTTATACGTGAATTTGATCCTGTCATTATGATGCTAGCTGGTTATTTTGCCCGTTAGTTGATGCAGTTTCTTCATAGTGTCAATGGTCTTTACAATTTGGTATGTTTTTGCAGTGGCCGGTACTGGTTTTTCCTTTCCATATTTAGTGCTTCCTTCAGGAGCTCTTGTAAGCCAGGCCTGGTGGTGAAAAAATCTCTCAGCATTTGCTTGTCCATAAAGGATTTTATTTCTCCTTCGCTTATGAAGCTTAGTTTGGCTGAATATGAAATTCTGAATTGAAAATTCTTTTCTTTAAGAATGTTGAATATTGGCCCCCACTCTTTTCTGGCTTGTAGGGTTTCTGCAGAGATCTGCTGTTAGTCTGATGGGCTTCCCTTTATGGGTAACCTGACCTTTCTCTCTTGCTGCCCTTAACATTTTTTCCTTCATTTCAACCTTGGTGAATCTGACAATTATGTGTCTTGGGGTTGTTCTTCTCTAGGAGTATCTTTGTGGTGTTCTCTGTATTTCCTGAATTTTAATGTTGGCCTGTCTTGCTAGGTTGGGTATGTTTTCCTGGATAATATCCTGAAGAGTGTTTTCCAACTTGGTTTCATTCTCCTGGTCACTTTCGGGTACACCAATCAAAGGTAGGTTTGGTCTCTTCACGTAGTCCCATAGTTCTTGGAGGGTTTGTTTTTTCCTTTTCCTCTATTCTTGTCCTCTCACCTTATTTTATTAAGTTGATCTTCAATCTCTGATACCCTTTTTTCTGCTTGAATAATTCGGCTATTGATACTTGTGTATGCTTCACGAAGTTCTTGTGCTGTGTTTTTCAGCTCCATCCGGTCATTTATGTTCTTCTCTAAAGTGGTTATTCTAGTTAGCAATTCCTCTAACCTTTTCTCAAGGTTCTTAGCTTCCTTGCATTGAGTTAGAACATGCTCCTTTAGCTCAGAGGAGTTTGTTATTACACACCTTCTGAAGTCTTCTTCTGTCGATTCATCAAACTCATTCTCCATCCAGTTTTGTTCCCTTGCTGGCGAGGAGTTGTGATCCTTTGGAGAAGAAGAGGTGTTGCGGTTTTTGTAATTTTCAGCCTTTTTGCACGCATTTTTCCTCAAGTTCATGGATTTATCTGCCTTTGGTCTTTGATGCTGGTGTCCTTCAGATGCGTGTTTTGTGTGGGGTTTTTCATTGATGTTGATGGTATTCCTTTCTGTTTGTTAGTTTTCCTTCTAACAGTCAGGGCCCTGTGCTGCAGGTCTCCTGGAGTTTGCTGGAGGTCCACTCAGACCCTGTTTGCCTGAGTAGCACTAGCGGAGGCTGCAGAACTGCAAAGATTGCTGCCTGTTGAAGGTGCCCCAGAGGGCACTCAATGATACAGGGCGGAGATGCAAAAATCAATTGTGTATCTACATATTAGCAATGAACATGTGGATACTAAAATTAGAAACGTAATACAATTCATAACGGCTCAAAATATACTAAGATATAAATCTAACAAAACATGTACAGCACTTGTATGTTGAAAGCTACAAAATGTTGATAAAAGAGAGCTAAAACAAGATCTAAATAGAGAGGTATACCATATTCATGCATTGTATGATTAAACATAGAAAAATGTCTTTTCTCTCCAAATTGATGTCCAGATTTAACTTAATTCATATCAAAATCCAAGCAAGTTATTTTGTAGATATAGGCAAGATTATTTTTTGGCAAGATTACTCAAGATCTGTAACAGGTAAAACGTCTTGAAAAGAATAATAAATTGCAAGACATCAATATACCTAATTTTGAGACATTATTATTTGACTACAGTTAATGCAGATTGTGTGGTATTGAGAAAAGGGTAAGTTCCTAGATTGACAGAATAAAATAGGGGACCCAGAAATGGATTCACACATATAAGCCAAACTGATCTTTGCAAAGTGTAGAAATAATTCCTTGAAGGAAAGGCATAGATTTTTCAACACGTGATGGAAGAACAAGTGGACCTACATAGGAAAAATAAGAAAATGAACCTCAGACAGTCTTAATACATTACACAAAAATTACTTCAAAACGGATCATTGTCTTAAATGTAAAACTAAGAGTATAGTATAAAAGTATATTTTTTAGAAAATATAGGAAAAAATCTTTAGGATGCATGACTAGGCAAGGGTTCTTAGACTTGACACAAGAACTACTGTATATAAAAGGAAAAATTGATTATTTGGACTTCATTAAAATTAAAAACTCTTTTCCTGCAAAAGACCCTATTAAAAGGATGAGAGGATGAAAAGAGAAGTTAAAGACTGGATAAAAATATTTGCAACCACCTGTCTAACAAGCCACTATTATCTAGAGTATATAAACCCTCAAAATATTAGTAAAAAGCAAACACTCCAATTAGGACATGTCAAAAGACATGAAAGGACATTTCACTGAAGAGGGTACACAGATGATAAATATATGAAAGCCATTTAACATTATTAGCCATTTGGGAAATACACATAAAAATCGCAATGAGATTTCACTACACATTCGTTACAATGGCTAAAAGAAAAAAATAGTGACAACACCAAACATTATCAAGGATGCAGAGAAACTGGGTCACTCATTCATTGATGGTGGGAGTAGGAAATGATACAACCACGTTGGAGAATGTCATGGTAGTTTCTTTTAATAAATATATTTTTAATACTAATCTTGTAACTACCATACAGCTCAGCAATTTCACTCCTGAGCATTTAATTCAAATAAAATTTACATTCACACAAATAGCTGTACATGAATATTTACAGTAGCTATATTTCCAATAGCCCAAACTGGAAACAACTCAGATTAATTCAAAGGGTGAATGGTTAAATAAACTATGGTATATCATACCATGTTATATTACTAAACAATAAAGTGGAATGAATAATTGATTTATGCAAACAACCTGCATGAATCTCTAGCAAATTATGTTGAGTCAAAAAAGCCATTCCAAAAATATTACATAATGATTCCCTGTATATAGCATTCTTGGAATTGTACAATTATAAAATGGAGAACACGTTACTGATTGCCAAGAGTTGAGGGAGGGGTGGAGGCAAGAGGGAATTGAGTGTAGATATAACAGGGTAAATAAGGGATTCCTGTGATGAAAATATTATGTATCTTGATCGCATTCTGTCAATATCCTGGTTGTGATATTGTACTATAGATTTGCAAGAGGTCGCCATTGGGGATATCTAGATGTATTAAATCTGTTGGACAGGTGGGCAGGCTAAAATCTCAGGTATGAGATGCTGTAGTCGAGCAATTTTGTAAGTGCTTTACATGTATTTAGTTAGTTTTCTCACAACACTTCTTGGTAGATTCTATCATTACTCACATTTTGGAAAATATAACTGAGTTAGAAATTGGCTATATTACTTGCTCATGATACAAAAGCCACGATTTTCCAAAATAAGATTTAAATCTCTAGGATCTGAATTTTTAAACACAGTGTCGCACTCTCATTTACGCACTTGTTTAGATATTTTATTCCTAACTCACTCTAAAATTATTTTTATTACCCCATTTGTAGTTAATGATATGGCAGATACATTTGATTTTAATTCTGTCAGCATATTTTATATTTCTTTTTGTTATTGCTTTGTTATTTTTAAATTATTCATTACATAGTCTATATTCCATTGTTTGGCTTATTTATAACTTGTTACTGTGTTTGTTTGGAAAATGTAGAAAAAGACACAAATTTAGGAACTGACAACAATGACGCAAGAAAAATCGATTTATATATATATATGGTTGTTATATAAAACATGTGGTTCTCTTTCCATTTTCATGGCTTAAAAGTCAGTTGGTTGGGCGCAGTGGCTCACGCCTGTAATCCCAGCACTTTGGGAGTGGATCACTTGAGGTCAGGAGTTTGAGACCAGCCTAGCCAACATGGTGAAACCCTACCTCTACTAAAAATACAAAAATTAGCCAGGCGTGGTGGCACACACTTGTCATCTCAGTTACTCTGGAGGCTGAGGCAGGAGAATTGCTTGAGCGGGGAGGCAGAGGTTGTAGTGAGCTGAGGTCACGCCACTGCAGTCTACCCTGCGTGACAGAGCAAGACTCCATCACCCCACAAAAGAAGTTAATTAACTGGTTCTTTTCATTCTATTACAGCAAAAAAGATTCAGAACCCCAAGACAAAGACATAATTGAAAAAATAAATACTTTCAACATAATCCCTGACTTTTACTTCAGAAACTATAAGTACTAATCAGATGTTACCAGCGTTCATTTCTTAACTTTTATTGCTGATATATGTGTTGCAAGCATCCATTATTTCTCAAGCCAGAGAGTAAGATGTAAAATTATGCAGTATATGCGTGCTGTCCATATTACCCTTGTTCCTACTTATAAACATGATCTCTTTGAAATAAAGCAAACAAGTACTTATGGTTCCATACTCTAGGAACATCAGTACTTTTCATTATGTTAACTCTTATACAATAAAATTTACTGTTTACCTGGAGCTATAGTTATTGTAATATCATATGTTTTAGGTTGTTTTAAAAAATAGAGAGTAAATCATTTCTGAAGAAAAATAAAACATATTAATGAGTTTTAGATGCCTGGGATTATTATTTTAATATCATAATGGAAGAAAATCTTAGAATGAATTTTCTCAGGGAATGTAAATCTTTTTCAAAGAAGGATAGATCAGGAATTATGTTAAGAGTTAGCATTGGCTGGGCGCAGTGGCTCATGCCTGTAATCCCAGCACTTTGGGAGGCCAAGGCGGGTGGATCATGAGGTCAAGAGATCGAGACCATCCTTGCCAACTTGGTGAAATCCCATCTCTACTAAAAATACAAGAATTAGCTGGGCGTGATGGCACATGCCTGTATTCCCAGCTACTCTGGAGGCTGAGGCAGGAGAATTGCTTGGACCCAGGAAGCGGAGGCTGCAGTGAGCCAAGATTGCACCACTGCACTCCAGCCTGGCAACAGAATGAGACTCTGTCTCAAAAAAGAAAAAAAAAAAGAGTTTGCTTCATCAATGGAGTGGATTATTTGTTTTTCAAAATAAACATATAATCATCATTGTCCTTAAATACCATTAAAAAAATTCTTTCTAATTTGCTTAAGGAATCCAAACATCGATTGTTCATATATTGTGATAGTGCTATGTTATCAAAAATGTAAACTTCTAAACATCAATTTTCACAAAAGCACTTTCACATTTTGCATTCTAATAACCATGATCATACATAATATGCTTTGACTGCCTCCTATATACAGAAGAGAGTCATAGGTTCTATAGAGAAAAGAGGAAAAATTAACATAACATTTTTCCCTTGTTCTCAGGATGCTTAAAATATTGATTCCATACAATACTAATAGATGTTAAAATAATGAAGAAAAACACAATGAAAATATTTTTGTTTATGTGAGTTTTTCAATATGTATGCATCTTTATCAAAAACTAGCATATATATTTATGGATTTATTTATAAAACCTATATATGTACAACTGTATTAACATATGTATGTCATAAAAGATGTTCAACTTATAAATTAAAAATATAAAAATATAACACATTAATTATAAAATATTTATATTTAGCTTTATTAAATCATTTTATGAGGTAGATCCTTATTGAATATAATTTTTCTGATTATTTTGAATTTTCAGGCTGAATTTCAGCTAGACTTGATGATTTTTTGTTGATCTTTTCAGATCTCATTTAGTAAGTATGACTAAAGAGGAGTACATGAAGCATATCTCCTCGTGGTTTGTTTTTGTATTTCTTCTTATCTTCAATATCACGTGTTTAAACTACATATTTACAGCAATGCATTTCAATGTACTGAAATAAAATAAGAATTCAAAGGGTCCATTTCCAACTTCTGCATATGATAGAGTTCTTATTCATTTCTTAAGATGGATTGTGTACCACTTAAGATGCACAGTAATTGAATGTCAGATATGCAGAAACTTTGACAGCAGAATAAAATATGCAAAAAATTTATTACTTTTAAATATTTTAATAGAAACATACATATAAATTAAATTTTAATTTTTTGTGTACTCTAGTAAGTTACTTTTGTAACCACTGTGGCATAGAGTACCCATTATGGTGACTAATGGCATAGACTACAGATAAAATAGAAATAAATAGAGAAAAGGTAGATAAAATGGCATAGACTGCAAATAAATTAGAAATAGAGAAAAAAGATAAATTCTGGCATAATTGGGAAAATGATTGCAAAGAACAAGGTGGAAAAACTGGACACATATAGATTGGTATTATTTAAAAATAGTGATAAATACCTGAAGAATAGTAATAAGTATCACAGATATGAGTTAACAACGTGCAAAAGAATGGTCTCAGTAAAGAAAGCTTCTTGTTGTCAAGATAAGTTATCAAGTTCAATAGTTTTTCACAGCAAAACTTACTTCTCACTCACAACAAAATTCTTTCCATGATCAGATGACTGTCCAATGTAGCTATCTTCCATGTAGTAACTCCACATTTACTGTCATTCAGGTGCAACCTCACAATTAAGACATACCATTATGATAACTACTTTTAAATAAAAGAGCATAAACAACGAACCACTTCTGCTTAAATATATATTTCTGAAAATTATGCATAAAAAAGTTTGCTTATCTTCAAAGGGGCACAGGAGTATAAGAACCCATGTCTCTTAATGAGGAGAAAATCCAGATATATTAGTGAATGATAGTAATGTCTGAAGTTAAATATTCATATAAATGACGGCAAATTCAGTTTTGGAGCTTTATAAAAAAAGGTTGAGAGTGAATAAAGATAGGATACCAGAAAACAATGAACAACAATGGAGGAAAGATCTAAAATCCTTTTTGTTTGAATTATTTTATAATTAACTCGTATAATACTGAAATTTATTATTTATTTTAGAATTTCATATTTGCATGAAACAACAACCACAGTAAGTCATACGCAAAAAATCCCTTCATATTTATTAATGGCATTACTACTCATAAGCAGAAAGGGAACATACTGAAGACCATTATGTTAGATATTATTTGCTGCTCTTAGTCCTGAAGATGAACACTGATGATAAATCTTTATGAACTGTAGATGAATCCAATCTGGAATTTAAGAAAGTTTTAATATCTGTCCATTAAAATGACAAATGGCTTAAAGAGATTCAGTGTAACAAAAATGGCATTAGCTCACAGCTGAGAACGTAGTACTAAGGAAAATAAGAAGATTCAACACCTACAGATATATTTAACAGAAGACATTTCAACCTGGAGCATTTCTGAGAGCAAACTGTGCATCTAGACAGGACTGTTATTTGCTATGAGAAATATTATGCTTCAAATAAATTGAAGAGCTCGTAAGCATTGTAGGAGTACATTACTTAGAAGCTGCACCTATTATTTGGTATCAGTACTAAAGGTTATGAAAATCTGACATGTTTATTTCAATTTTCATTTAGAAATTTGCTCAATAGAAGCTATATCCTTTCTTGGAATTTTACAGCTTTCAAGGATCTGTTTCTAAAATAAATAAACACTGACCAAACTTCTTTATTTTTTTCTGAGATGGAGTCTCACTCTGTCATGCAGGCTGGAGTGTAGTAGTGCAATCTCTTCTCACTGCAACCTTTGCCTCCTGAGTTCAAGTGAATCCCATGGTTCAGCCTCCTGAGTGGCTGGGATTACAAGCATATGCCACCTTGTCCAGCTAATTTTTGTATTTTTACTGGAGACAAGTTTTCACCGTGTTGGCCAGACTGGTCTCGAACTCCTGACCTCAAGTGATCCACCAGCCTCGGCCTCTCAAAGTACTAGGGTTATAGGCGTAAGCCACCACACCTGGCCTGAACGAATATTTTTGAAATACACCTATACATTGTGTAATATAACAACTATAATCATATTAAACAGACACTTTTCCCCCAAATGGCTAAAAGTTACACAGACAACCATACAGAAATTAAAATAAATATTAACTTATTAGAGCATTATCATCCCATATTTTTGTTGTTCTCTCAAAAGCTTTAATTATCTCATATATTTTGATTTAAATGATATTTAAATAGTAAAATAAATATAATGCCAAATGACTCTTTAGTATCTAATTGATGTATAGATTCAGATAATAAGTATTCAAAGCAGTCAAGTTGGTTGGTTTGAATTTGAAGTATGTTACTATGGAAAGTGTTAACACTGGGACTTAGTAACTCAGGCTAGCTGGCAGAGTGATTTCTGGTCTAAGCATGTTTATTTCTACATTCCTTTTTGGCTACTTGTAGATGAATGATTCTCCAATTGAGAATTAATTTTAAAACAGGGAATTAGTGAATGTAGACAAATAAGTGAAGAAAAATTATAAAAAAAGCAGAAGTGAAGAATTTTGAATTGAAACTTTAGAATAGTTGAAGACTCTGAGGGAAAGGTCACTGATATCAGAAGGAATGGATGGTGAAAAGATTTATTTTAGGTGTGGCTGAAGGTGACCCACACATTGGTGCAGTCTTTATATCTGAAACTTAGTGGAATCTAGAAGGCAAAAGCTAGTTATAAAGTATGATATATATCCAGTACATAGAATAATATACCAAAAGAAAATATTAGTACAAACATCAGCTGAAATAAAATGAAATAAATTTTAAAATATTTCCTTTCTTTTTTTAAGTGAAACTTAGAATTTATTAATATATTTACATAATTTACAATCTTTAAGCAATTGTCACATAAATATAGACTGCAACTTTATATTCCTGGAAGAAACATTTCTCATGAATCCATTCAAGTCTCAGTGCAGTGGCCATAAATGTGCGCACTCAGATCTCCGTCAAGAGAACTTGTTGTGGGGTGCATAATGACTACAGCTCTGGGTTTTGACCCTTTGGACTCATGATTGCAACTCCATTCATCATTGCAACTGCACCATGGTAACAACTTTCTCAGGCTGCTTCTGGACTATGAATGGACATGAAGGGACACTCTTGCTGGTCTATTTCTACCAGTCTCACAATTACTCCAGTTGGCAGCCTTTGCTAGTGGACATATCATCAGCCTGTTAAAAACTTCCTCAAGAAAAACAAAAACAAAAAACAAAAACAAAACAGCAACCAAAAAAAGCCCTGCAATCTAAAACTGCTCCTACCCAAACCACCGTTCTTATGCTCCCTCACAGTTGTGAGAATTGTGTTATTGTCTAAATGCTTTTCCTAATTCCTCTTGCTCCCTTCCAATACGTGTTTCACCAGAATTTCCTCCAATAAATCTCTTGCATGTCTGATTCCACGTTAACATCTGCTTCTTGGAGGACCCCAAATGCATAATTGGTACTGAGTAGGGGTTCCAAAAAAACAGCAGTAAGTTGGAGTTTTGGAAGTAACTCACTCATCATTCAGCTGAAAGGACTGTCTTGGAATATGAGGCATAGTTAGTCCCTGGCATGAGATGGCAGCCACAATGCTGAAGATTTCACCAGTGTTGGCCTGGGAAAACATCCACGAAGGAAAATGTTCTTGCTGATATAGTGAGGCAGACATTTAAAAGATATTCAGGAAACAGTACTTACAAAGACATCAAAGTTGGCTGATTATTACTAAGTGAAATTGACACTAAAGAAGGATAATGACTAACTGAGGGCAGTTAAATAGTTAAGGCTAGGGGAGGCAGAAGGAATCATTGATAGATTGCAAAGAGACTGATATCCTGCAATGGATATCAGAGCTTATTAGCAGATATAGGAGTTAATAGAATTGAAGAGCTCCAGATGTGTTACATGCTGAGTTAATGTAGTTATATTATGTTAACTAAGGTCAGAGCCCTGTTGGGAAAAACTGGCACCCTAAAATATGAGATAAGAATATCAAGATAGATAAAAAATTTGGCTCTGTAGGCTGCATGAATACTCAGCAGTTACAGGAGTGGCCTATTTCTTTCATATAATAAAAGACACTGTCAAGCTTTTTCATTTATAATGCGAATAGGTGCCCCCCAACTGGGAGCAAGACCATGACATTTGCAGCTGTTATTTTATATCTTTTGAGAGACAGCTCCTGGTGTGCAAGTGGAGTTTTGTGGATAAGCAACACTTAACTCTGGCACCACGTAACCATGACTCCAGAACTGCTCATTGCAAACTGAATCTGTTATATCCAAGTCAGAAAGTCTGGGGGGCCTTCTGTAATGTCTGAAAAGCTTATTATTACTAGCATTATGATAAACTATGAAGACATATTTATTGTTCAGAGATGCATAACAGCATAAAAAGATGAAACATGTTTTTAATATTTTATAAAATAGTTCAACAAAATCAGAGAGGAAGTAAATATGATAAATTCAAACAATTATTAAATGTGAAATATAATTGTTGGACATTTTTCAAAGGCAGAAAGTCAGAAAAGTATTGCATTACTAGTATGTAATCATTATATAAAAGTGGGAGCATAAATATTAAATAATTAGCACTTAGAATATATTGATCAGCAAATATCTTAGAAATACTGCCTAGAGGCTGATCCCTGTCTATATATTATAGGCATTGATATTTTACAATATAAATAAAATATATACACTCTAATGATAAAGTGTATATTAGAGATGGTTTACTTCAAATATATGCAAACATATGAAGCCATGGAGTCTCATTTGTGGCCATATGTTTATTATATTTTTATAATAACAAATGTGATTAATGTTTCTAGAGTCTGTGCAATATAGGAAGGCGAAATAATTTGAATAAATTACCTAGATCCATTACTTTGACTTCTGTGGGTTTTACCAGTCGTCATCAACATATTAGAGTGTCTTAAGCCTAAATGTCTGAAAATATTTATCTTAATGTGTTTTAACATTAAAATAATCTGTGTTTAATGGCAAGGCAGCCCATATTAATATAACTCTCTTGACTTATATGCAATTAGGATATATCTGCAATAGAAACTACTAAATAAACCAAAATTCTTTAATGTGACATTGATTTTAATATCTCAGCTTAATGAAAACTTTTTAAAGTTTAGAAAATTACATAATTAATTAAAAATGTTTAACTCTAATAGCTCCTGAATCTATGAGATATTTCAGGATGCTATAATAAAACTGTTATTTAGAAATGTAAGTGAAAAGCAAGAAGGCATCAAGTGTCACCTATTTTGTTGTAAAAAGCATTCTAGAGCCCAGGCAGGGCCATAATCCAGTATACATTACAGAGAAACCATGAACAATCTACCTACTGCACTTATTCAAACTACAGGCTAACACTAATTACTGGATAGGTTTATTCTCATCTCCAATTTAATCATGCATTAGGAGAAGAATTTCAGAGCCAGAGAGCAGTTTGTACTCTATACACACGTATGTATTTTCCATGTATTTAGTTTTCAAAAATCTATCTCATGTCAGGCACTATGATGATTTCTTGATAAAAAGAAGTGAATGAATCCAAAAGAAACATTCCATAGGAAAATGACAGAAAAAGAAAATGAAACATTGAAAGTCTAACATTATTTTTAAAAATCCTATTATGATCATTGGCTATGGAGATGTGATATTTCCTTTTGTTTTCTTAATAGGTGTTATATACTCTGCATGTGTTAGGGTAAGATATAAGTAATACAATTATATATTTGTTAATCCTCATAAATCTAAATGGAATTAAAAATATTAAGTACATATATATGTTTTAGGTTGAGAAAATCCTTTACAACTTTCATGGAAGACAGTACGAAAATCAATTTGGCAGAAGTCAAACTTTGGATGCTTTTCCTGGTTTTCTAGCCACAAATCCTGGTCTATATATGTTTTATAACTTATCTGAATCTTGTTCCTCAGACTTTATTTCAGTCTACCTCTTTATTGTTATCATCACCTATTTCAAATACAATACGTAAATTCTTTTTTTTCTTAGACCTACAGTCAGCGGCAAAACAAAATACACACACACACACACCCTACTGCTTTATCACTTATTTCAAATACAATATATGAATACTTTTTTTTCTTAGACCTACATAGTCGGTGAAATAACAAAATACACGCCCCCTGACATGTATATGTATACTAAACAAAGAAAAAAAACAAGCAAATAAAAAACCCACAATATTCGAGAAAGACAGAGAAAAGAATGCATATATTGAAAAAGTACATTGCAGAAAAAAGAAAAGCATAAAAAGTTATTAACCGTCATGGCAAAATAGACACATATGAAAAACAAGTCAATAGATCATAGATTTGAAGAGGAGATTTGGGTACACATATTTGACAATTCATTTTACAGATGATGAGACTGTGATTTTGGTGTTTTTCCTGAGCTATTTATACAGCTATTTGGTGGTAGACTTGGAGTTCTAGTGATAATCTTTTAGTGTAAATATTTTTGATATTTTTCCTTTAGATCAAGTAGGACCTAGTTTATAATTTCTTATTTGAGACATTATAATATAAAAGTATCTTATCCTTTAAACTGGTGGTTTTAGACAATTATAGAAACTTATAATATTGAGGAAACAAGATTTTTTTATTCTTCTTCACTTGATAGGCTAGGGAAAATTTTAGGGTTACGTGACTCAAAAATCTGAGTCACTTTGGAATTAAAGCACATTTTGAAAAAAGAATGTGAGATTCTCTGAATTCACTAGGTTCTAATCAGGTTAGACTAGCAACTAATAGATCACAATTTATTTGTTACAAATTCTATTAACAAGTAATAATACCAGTTATAATAAAGAAGAAAACATCATCAACCAATAATGGTGTCTATATGCATTGTATATCCATTACGAAGCACTATGAACTGTAAACCTTATGCCTTGAGCTATGATAAATCAGTTTTACATCTCATAAAAGCACTCTGATAGTCAATTTAAAAGAGGAAAACAAATTCCAGATAACTGATCAGTAGGCTTCTGGAATAACATAGGAAAGGAATGGAATAAACCTGAGCTAAGACAATAATAGCAGTGGGAATGAAAAAAATTTGGTTTAATATAGAAATAATATAGATTTGAGTACCGATATAGAAATGGAATACTTAGAACTAGTGCTGAGGAGAGAGTCCCAAAAGTTGCAGATCTGTGAATGATACACATGGATACAGAAGTATATGGGGGTGGACAAGATTTCCTAGGGGTAAGCAAAAAGACTGAAGACAAAAATAGGCAATAGATTAGAGGGAAAAAAAAGACAAAGAGAGAGGAGGAAAATCAGGATGTTGTATCACAGAAACCAGCAGAATAAAGAAATATAAAAAGATGGATGTGTAAGAAGGAAGGAGATGCCAGTTGTCAACTTTTGTTAACACTACGCCATCTGAGGCACTGTCCTTCCAGCCGACCACCTTCTGCTACTAGAGTATGCCATAAAATCCTCCAACTTAAAATACCTCAATATCTTAGTCCATACAACACATTTTAAAATCTTAGGTTTCATCTCAGATTTTCTATTGCTGTAATATCTTTGCCTAAGTTTCATAACTTCTCTATTCCCCATTTTTCTTTTCTGTAAAATATGGTTGCTTTATTGAGAAAATACAGATATTTATTTTCAGAATGATAGCGTGTTTTATGCAGTGTTTGGTATTAAATACATGGTAAGCCTGGAAGAGTCAGTAACTATTTAATAATTATTAACATTTCTCTGACATTTATTTGGCATTTAAGGCCATCTGGGACTTGGACCCATGTACTTCTTTAGTCATCTCTTGCTGCAATAACCACTCTACTATGTTACAGCAATTTTATCTACTATTGTCCCCTAAATGCATTATTAACTGAAATCTTGTATCAATGGTAACTTTTCAAACATGATATCATCAGATTACTATGCCTTATATTAGTAGATTGAAGAATGAGAGGGCATTTTTTAATTAGAAACACATCTATCTATACCTGTCTTCTCTTTAATGTCATTTATTATGTTATGCTTGAAAATTATCACAGTAACTAAATTGTTATTAGGGCCTAGGGAAGAGGAGGTAGGAGATAGCTTTTCTAAATGCCTTAGTCCATTAAACGAGAAGATGAATCTTTATTAAAAGCCACTCATTGAGCTCTGTAACAATAAGTTATGAATAAAATGTAATTTTTCTTGTATACAAAAGAATTCCATGAGAAGTTGTGTTACATTTAATTTTACTGAAATATTTCCAATTATGGGAGAAATAAAGTAAGAGAAATACCAGTGAGATTTTCAGAAGATATTTGATATGGAGACGCCATCACATAGAATGCAAAGGCCCCTCATGATATGAGAAAGATGAGTTGTTAAAAAGGCAATTTGTTCTTTAAATGACACAGCTCAAAGAAATAACCTTGAGGAGAATAATACTTTATTTTCTATATACAAAATTTTTTAAAAATATGCTATTTATATATGTGATACAGTAACGAGGAATTACTGTCATCTAAGTAAATTACTAGAATAAATCAATGAAAATAATTTGAATTTAGCACATATCCTCAAAAAAATCAGTGGTGGATAACAAAATTTAATCAGGGCAGTTGATTAGGTTGTTAGACTCATGGATTCAGCAAAACTATTTGGGGGGTATATATTCTTTTAAAAAAATTTTAAATTTTGAATTACCTTTATTTGTTGACAACCTTTAGAAATATTTCAAAATTTACACAAACGGAAATCCTCAACTCCACTTATTTACATCCTCTTTAATTCTTTCAAAATTACCTTTTACTTTTAGAATATAAGTTTTGAAGTTTTAAAAAATTTACACCTATTCATTTATTCTTTTTGATGTTATTTGTAAAGGACTTGTATTCTTAATTTTACCTTACAATTATCAGTGCAAGTATATAGAAATGCAATTAATTTCATATAACCTTGTATCCTACAAACTTCTTGAATATGTTTATTGGAACATAGTTCTAATAGTAATATACTACTAGTAGATTTATTAAAAATTTTAATATAAAAATATGTGATCTATGAATAGAAATAGTTTTTGCTCTTCCTTTACAATACAGATGACCTTTTTTTTTTTTTTTTTCCGTTTTCTTGCTTAACTTCCCTGGCTAGAACTTCTAGTTCAATGTTAAACAAAGTTAAACAAAGTGTCAAGAGCAGGTATCCTTATCTTGTTTCTGATCTTAGAGGGAAAACATTTAGTTTTTATCATTAAGGTGCAATTTTAATTTTGGATTTTTTTCATAGATGTCTTTTATCAGATTGAGAATGTTCCCTTTTCTTCCTTATTTATTGATTGCTTTATCGTAAATGTTGGATTTTGTCAAATGCTTTTCTGTTTCTAAACAAGATAGTGTGGATTTTGTTATGTTTTTTATTATTGACATGATGTTTTGTACTATTTGATTTTCAGATGAGAATTCACCCTTGCATATCTGGAATAAATAACAGTTTTTCATAGTGTTTGATCTTTTTTATATGTTGTCATGTTCACTGCACTAGTACTTTGTTGAGGATTTTTATGTTTATATTTATTCATATGAGATTCTGGTCTGTGGTTTTCTTTACTTACAGTATCTTTGTCTGGTTTTAGTATCAGGGTAATACTGGCCACATAGAATGAATTGGAGAGTGTTCCATTCCCTCATCTTCATTTTTTGGAAGAGTTTGCAAAAAGCTAGTATTAATTTTAAAAAAAGGTGTTTTTTTTAATTTTTTTCTTTGTTTAGTGGCTTAGCATATGATTTATCTTGGAAAATGTTTCATGTATATTCTGCTGTTTAGGAATAGCACATTTGAGTGCTCAGTCTATGTTTGTATTATTGCTCAACTCCTAGATCCTTTTTGATCTTCTACCTAGTTCTATACATTACCAAAAGTGGGGTACTGAAATCGCTATTACTGCTGAAATGCCTGTTTCTCCTTCATTTCCTACTGTCAATTTTGTTTTAGGTATTTTGAGCTTCTATTGTTAGGTTCATATATGTTTATAATTGTTGCATATTGCTGATAGACTCTATTGTCGTAAATGTCTCCTTTTATCTCTAATAACATTTTTGGTTTTAAATTTGATTTTGCCTGCTATTAATATGGGAACGCAAGATTTCTTATGATTGTTTGCATGACATAGTTGGATCTTATTTTGTTGTCCAATGTGAGAATCTCTGCCTTTTCATTGATTACTTAGTCAATTTACATGTAATGTTATTATGTATGTATTTAATAGTTGTACTTATATCAGCCATTTTACTTTTTTATGTTCTCTGTGTCTCATGTCTCTTTTGTTTCCGTATTTCTTATTTTTTTATTTTATGCATTAATTGAATATTTTACGATGTAGTATTTTAATTTTTAAATAACTTTTTCAACTGTATTTTTGGAAGCTGTTTTCTTAGTGGTTGCTATAGGGCTTACGATGTATCTCTTAACTTATCAGGATCCACTTCAGATTTATATTAACTTAATTCCAGCAAGGTACAGTGACATTTTTTTCTATACAGCTTTATTTTCTCTTACACATTTTTGTGGTAATATTATTAAAAATATTGCATCTATAAATGTTGTAAAGCCAATACTACACTGGTATAATTATTAGCTTATATAATTTTAAGGCTTTTCTAAAAGCATAGAGAAGAAAGGGGAGGAAGCATATATTTATAGAATTTGTTATGTTAACCTTTATATTTACCATTTCAGGGTTTATTCTTTCTTTGTTTTTTTCCTTGTTGATTTGAGTTACAATCTGATGTCACTTCCTTAGTCCAGTGCAGCTTTGCTCCCACTCACCTTCATTTGCTGTTGTTAGGAAATATACTACCTTTCTATGTACTATAGGCTCAAAAATGCAATTATACATATTTTATGAGTAAGAAGACACAAGGTGAATTTACATTATCTTTATAATTGCATAATTACTTTTATTGATGTTCTCTATGTGTGAGTGTGTGTGTGTGTGTATTCAAATCTACAATTAACTCCTTTCAGCATTACGAACTTTCCTATTATTTTTTGTTAGACTTGTCTGCTGGGAATAATTCTTTCAGTTTTTGTTTGTCTGGTTATATTTTCATTTCACCTTCCTTTTTGAAAGATAATAACACTGGATATAGGCAGTATATTTTCCTTTTTCTCCAAGCAATTTTAATGATATCTCATTGACTTCTGGCCTCCATTTCTGATGAGATGTCAATAACCTTTTAGGGGTTCTCTTGTATGTGATGAGTCACTCTTATCTTGTTGCCTTCAGTATTTTCTCCTTGTGTTTGACTTTAAGTAATTTTAAATTTGATGTTGCAAGTATTTTGGATTTTGTACATTTTAATAGGTATGCAGTGGTATCACATTTTTGCTTTAATTTGTAATTCTCTAATGACTTATGATGCTGAGCATCTCCTCATATGGTTACTTGTCATGTGCATATCATTCCCGGTTTGGTGTCTGTTTCGATCTTTGATCAGTTTTGAATTGGGTTATTTGTTTTCTTATTGCTAAATTTAAAGTCTTATTTGTATATTTTGGAGACCAGTCATTTATCAGATATATGTTTTCCAAATATGTTCTTCTAATTGGTAGCTTGCCATTTGCAGAGCAGAAGATTTTAATTTAAATGGCACACAATTTATCAATTATTTCTTTTATGGATTATGCTTTTGTTACTTTATCTGAGAAGTCTTCACCAAAACCAAGACCATCTATATTTTCATTCTTTTTTTAATTTATTCATATACATTGACAAGTAAAATTATATATATTCATGGTGAAAAACATGATGTTTCACATATGTATAAATCATGGAATCGCTAAAAGTATTTAACATCTCCTTTCCTCTTCTATAGCTTCTTTATTTTATAAAACACAATGATATTTAAATCAGGCCAATTAATTGTCGTACAAGGACTCTAAATGTGCAAGTGAAAGGAAGAGTCACAAGTCTCTCACTTTAAATCTAACTGTAGAAATGATTAAGCTTAGTGAGGAAGACATTTTGAAAGCTCATATAGGCCAATAGCTAGACCTGTCACTCCAAACAGCCAAGTTGTGAGCACAAAGAAAAAATTCTTGAAGGAAATTAAAAATGCGACTCCAGTGAACACACAAATGATAAGAAAGTGAAACAGCCTTATTGCTGATATAGAGAATTTTAATGGTCTGGATAGAAGATCAAGCCAGCGACAACATTCCCTTAAATCGAAACCTAACCCACAGTAAGGCTCTCCTCTCTTCTATTCTGTGAAGGCTAAGAGAGTGAGAACGCTTCCGAATAATAGTTGGAAGCTAGCAAATTGGTTCATGAGTTTTAAGGAAAGAAGTTATTTCCATAACATAAAAGTGCAAGGTAAAGCAGTAAGTGATAGTGGAGAAGCTTCAGCAAGTTATCCAGGTTTAGCTAAGATCTTTGGTGACAATACAGTACTAAAGTACAGATTTTCAATGTAGACATAACAGCCTTGTAGTGGAAGAAGATGCCATCTAGGATCTTCATAGCTAGAGAGCAAATCAATGTCCGGCTTCAAAGCCTCAGAGGACTGACTAACTTCTGATAAGGGCTAATGCAGCTGGTGAGTTTAAGTTAAAGCCAAGTTCATTTACCATTTTAAAATCCTAGAGCCATTAAGAATTATGCTAAATCTACTCTGCCTATGCTCTATTAACGGAAAAACAAAGCCTCAATGACAACACATCTGTTTACAGCATGGTTTCTGAAATATTTTAAGCCCATTGTTGAGATTTACTGCTTAAGAGAAAGGATTTCTTTCAAAATATTGCTGCTCATTGACAATACACCTGGTCACTCAAGGGCTCTGATGAATATACACAAGAAGATGAACGTTGCTTTCATACTTGTTAACACAACATCCTTTCTGAAGCCCATGGACCAAGGAGTAATTTTGAGTTTTCCAATCTTATTACTTAATAAATGCATAAGTCTTTAGCTTCCATAGGTAGTAATTTATTTGATGGATCTGGGTAAAGTAAATTGAAAAACTTCTGGAAATAATCTGTAATTTTAGATTTTATTAAGCTCATAATTTGTGGGAGGGTAGAAAAATATCAACATTAACAGAAATTTAGAAGCAGTTGATTCTAAATCTCATGGAAGATTTTGAGGGGTTCAATCTTGCCTGTGGGACGTAACTGCAGATGTGGTGCAGATAGCAAGAGAACTAGAATTAGAAGTGGAATCTGAAGATTAGACTGAATTGCTATGATTTCTTGATAAAACTTGAGCGGATGAGGAGCTGCTTCTTATGGACGAGCAAAGAAAGTGAGATTGAATCTATTTCTAGTGAAGATATTTTAAACATTGTTGAAATTAAAACAAATGACTTAGAATATTACATAAACTCAGTTGATAAACCAGAAGCACAATTTTAGAGGATTGACTTCAATTTCAAAAGCAGTTCTACTGTGGGTAAAATGTCATCAAACAGAATCATATGCTACAGAGAAATAGTTTATAAAAGGAAGAGTCAATCAATGTGGAAACTCCATGATTGTCTTTAAGAAGTTGTCATGGCCACCCCATCCTTCAGCAACCACAACTCTGATAAGTCAGCAACCATCAACATCAAGGCAAGACCCTCCACCAGTAAATAGATTATAACTCACAGAAGGCTTAGATAATTGTTATCATTTTTTAGCAATAAGGCATTTTTATTAAGGTATGTGTATTGTTTTTGGCATAATGCTATTGCACACTTAGTAGACTATACTAGAGTGTAAACATAACTTTTATATGCACTGGAAAACCAAAAAATTATGTGACTGTCTTCATTGTGATATGTATTTTATTGCAGTGGTCTGGATTTGAACCTACGATACCTCCACAGTATATTTGTATTATCTGAGGTGCAGATGCTTGTGAAGTAGCTGGGGAGCCACAAATGAGAGCACAGGCATGTGAAGAGTTAGGCTGGTCCCAGGATTGAGCCAGGACCGAGTTCTCTATGACGGCTGATCTGGTGATAGCATTGTGAGTATAAACCCACAGGGAGGGCTTGGCTCCAGGGCCTGGGGTGCAAACTAGCTGCTATGGCGATGGCTCTGGTATCTGAGATGTGAGCAGTTTCATCACAGTCACAAAAGCCTGATCTGGAGTGTAGGCATGCAAGGAGCTGCCATGACCCCAGAGTTAGGACATGCATGAGGTGGGAGAAGTGGCAGCTCATTTCCTAAAGTGGCGCAACAGTGGCTACTTCTTGGGTGGAGGAGGGGTATGCAGCCACGTCTTCCTGTCTGGAATTCCCCAGCAGGAATAGCTGTTGGTTACCTCAGTGGCTAAAGATTTCAGTGTCATCTGAGGAGCAGGCCACTGGCAAACACAGTGATTCCAGCACTGTAGCCCTTACTGATAGCCCCTGCCTTTCTCCTTTCTTCTTTGCTCCTGTCTCTGTTTTGTTGTTTTGTTTGTTTTATCTACTGTGTTGCTGCAGACCTTTTAATAGGCCCTTGTACCCTCTCTGGGTTATTTTGGTTTGTGAATAGCTGTCTATATTTGTGTTTTTGTAGGGCCATAAAGGCTGGTATCTCCTACTCCACCATCTTGGTGATGCCACTGTCTAGATTTTCATATATATATATATATATACTTTTAAAGAGTCATTTGCATTTCTCTAATTGTTCCTCTTCCTGCTTTGAAGCATACACTATCTTTTACTATATCTCTGAATATTCTAATTTTATAGCTTTTTCTTGAAAGTTATTTTCTACTCTTTAGTTGTTTATGACTACACCAGAATCAGTTTCTTCAATTCAGACACTGTCTTTTCTGTTGCGAGTGTTTAAACTGAAGTGATGAATCCTGGTGTTGACTCACTTACTAGAATGAATAATTAGGTGGAATTTCACAATAATATTAAAGGGAGTGTCCTTTTCTGCATTATACATAAAAAAATGTTTCACCAAAACTTCTTCTCCTTGGGAGGGAAACTGTATGAGGACAAAACCAGGGTGTGATAGCCCTGCTGTTTTATTTGAATGTATCCAGGCAGGGAGCTGTTTTAACTGCTCCACTCCCACAAAGTAAGAATTCTAAGTGTTAGGTAAATATGAGATATTTTATATAGCAGGCATTGTGTATAGAAAGCCTTCATTAGCCCTTCTTTTTCAGTTCCACACCTCATTTGTCACCTGTATCCTAAACATCAACCTAAGCATCCTATAAGACTTGAGCAAAGAATATTCACTACCCCTTCCATTGCTTCCATTGCCACCTTACCCTCTCTGCTGGCTGCCGCACATCTTCCCAATGCATGAATCTTCTCTCTGCTCCCCACCTCCACACTGTTTCTATTTCTTTCACTATAGTGCTTTTATTTCTTTTGTATCCTATATTGCAGTTCCGGTGCCTCATCTGACTGTTTGACCTGAAAGCCTAAAAAGGATTTTAAAATATTATGTCTTAAAATCGGGAAGTTCCCACATGAAAGTAAAAAGAAAGAAAAAAAGAGCCAACAAAATATTGCTGAATTGGCATAGTTGCTATGGAATTTTATATGTTTGTTTATATGTGAAATGAAGATATAAACTGTTGAAACAAAGAATGACATAAAGGCTACACTGGGCAGTGGATTTCACTTTCAAAACATATATAACTAAATCCATAAATTATTTAAAATACTGATGAGAAAACAAAACAACATAATTTCTTAAGTCATATTTTTATATTCGTTTTCAAGTAGAAAATTATTGAAATAATAAAGCCTGTGCTAAAGGGATATGTCTAGACAATGTGTATTAATCCTCATACTTAGTTAAATGTTAGTAAATCTTATTATTATAATTATCTTTTTTTTGAAAGCAACAGTGAAAACTAAATTGGTTATAGATTTTTCTATTTTGATTTTCACACTAAACACATGTACACCTTAAATTACATTGATTAATAGATACTATTACCTATTTACCCATTGTAACAGCAACATATTTCCTGGTAGCTAGAGAAGAGTTGGCAGTAGTACTTATTACTTTGTAGTTTCTTTGAAGCATCACCTTAAGTTCTACTCTACTATTGTCATGCATTTTACTTGGTCTTTAGTATCAATTTCTCCTATTTCTGTGTAAAAAAATAAATATGGGGGAAGAAATGAGTAAGAAGGAAGAACTGTGAGGAAATTTACTGCAGAACTACTGAATTAAGAATATTATTGCCATAGCCTAAAACTCTTCTAAACAACGTGACCACCATTGAGGACAATTGTTCATTCACAATGAGAAGAAATCCAGACATCCAGATGAGAAGCAGTTTCTCTCTCTCTCTCTCTCTCTCTCTCTCACTTTCTTTCTCTCTCTCTCCTCACACACATTCAAGTCTTGGGAAATTATCTTTTACTCTACTGAAACCTTTAATGAACATTTTGTTACTATGCAATTTTGTCAGGCATATATGTAAGTAGAGTCTCCAGATCAGTCAGATTAAAGTGGGGGCAGAAGAAACAAAATAACTTCAGAAGAGGACAGGAATTTCTGTGCCTAATAGAATAGTGATATCTTCCATATATTCATATTCCCAAAGGGAACCATGGGGTCATGATTTATAAAGTATGAAAGAATTCGAAGTGATTTCCTCTTTATTTTTCTATATTATTTGTAAATAAACTATGTTTGTTGGTGTTCTTTAGGCAATTACGTAAACATTTTCATGGCAGCTATGCCCATGAAACATCTACTGAATGCTACTGATTAGAGACACTTTCATTACTTAGTATCAGTTATTACTGATTATAGAAGTTGGTGTACTATTATCTTTGAAAAGATGTTCTTTAAAGGTAATTAATTCTGCCTTAATTCTGCAGCATCAACTTTTTCTAGGCTCTGAGTAAAATTAAGCATGGTGTGGTAGGCAGAATATCAGATACCCAAAGATGTTAATGTCCTAATCCCTGGAACCTGTGAATATGTTATGTTACAAGCTAAGTATGATTAGGCTTGCAAATAGAACTAAATTTATTAACTGCCCACTCAGAAGGACAGAGCAGCATGTAGGAAACTTACATAATGAACTTTTGCTGCAGAATTACTGCAGTACTATGCCAGGAAAGCAGAGAGAATCCACAGACCCTCCGAAGGAAGTGGATTGCTTCTGCAGGACCTGGGAAACAGCCCAAATACCGTGAGTGCCCAAGCTGTTTAAGTGGGAAAGGGAAATCATCCACCCCCAAACACACACCCTCACTGGGGAACCTGAAGGTCTAGATCATGGGAGAAGGATGTGACCTTACCTGGAACTGAGTCAATTTAGAGAGCTGAGCAAAATACAGGGGCAAAAGAAACAGCAGGAAAAGCCCTGTGGGCTCTCTGGATCCCCAGAGAAACCATTTATGACTTGTCACACAGGGGTCCTTGGGGAGGGCTGCCAGAAGAACTCCAAAAAGACCACAAAAAGGAGGAAATCTCCAGATGAACTTTGTAACAATTCCAACCCTATATGAAGTCTCCTGGCCAGAACTCAGGGGAGGGCCTGAATCTGGTGTGCAGACTGCACAGGCAGGGGAAGAACCAAAGCCCAGATTCGTTCTTACAGGCCACAAAACAAGGCTCAATAAATTTAAGAAAATTGAAATTATACCAAGTACTCTCTCAGACCACGGTGGAATAAAACTGGAAATCAACTCCAAAAGGAACCTTCAAAACCATGCAAATAGATGGAAATTAAATAACCTGTCCTTCAGTCAACAATGAAATCAAGATGGAAATTTAAAAATTATTTGAACTGAACAATAATAGTGACACAACCTATGAAAACCTCTGGGATAGAGCAAAGGCACTGCTAAGAGGAAGGTTTATAGCCCTTAAACGTCTACATCAAAAAGTCTGAAAAAGCACAAATAAACAATCTAAGGTCACACCTCAAGGAACTAGAGAAACAAGAACAAACCAAACCCAAATCCAGCAGAAGAAAGGAAATAACCATGATCAGAGAAGAACTAAATAAAATTGAAACAACAACAACAAAAACAATACAAAAGATAAATGAAACAAAAAGATAGTTCTTTGAACAGATAAATAAAATTGATAGACCATTAGCAAGATTAACCGAGAAAAGAAGAGAGAAGATCCAAATAAACTCACTGAGAAACAAAACAGGAGATATTACAACTGACATCACTGAAATACAAAAGATCATTCACAGCTACTATGAACACCTTTACACACATAAACTAGGAAACCTAGAGGAGATGGATAAAGTCCTGGAAAGATACAACCCTCCTACTTTCAGTCAGAAAGAATTAGGAACTCTAAACAGACCAATAACAAGCACTGAGACTGAAATGGTAATAAAAAAAATTACCAAAAGCAACAAAAAAACTCATGACCAGATGAATTCACAACTGAATTCTACCAGACACTTGAAGAATTGCTACCACTCCTACTGACACTATTTCACAAGATAAAGAGGGAATCCTCCCTAAATTGTTCTATGAAGCCAGAATCACCCTAATATCCAAACCAGGAAAAGGTCATAACAAAGAAAGAATTCTACAGACCAATATCGCTGATGAAGATAGATGCAAAAATCCTTAACAAAATACTAACTAACTGAATCAAACAGCATATCAAAAAAATAATACACCACGATCAAGTGAGTTTTGTACCAGGCATGCAGGGAGGTTTAACATACGCCAAGTCAATATTGTGATTTGCCACATAAACAAAATTAAAAACAAAACAATCACATAATCATCTCAATAGATGCAAAAAAAAAAGCGTTTGTCAAAATCCAGCATCACTTTATGATTAAAACCCTCAGTAAATTTGGTATACAAGGCCCTCTGCAGTTTTAGGATATAAAATTAATGTACACAAATCAGTAGCTCTTCTATACACCAACAGTGACCAAGCTGAGAATCAAAACACTCAATTCCTCTTACAATAGCTGAAAAAAAAAACCTTAGGAATATAGTTAATCAAGGAGGTAAAAGACTTCTACAGTAAAAACAAACAAACAAACAAAAACACTGTTGAGAAATATCATAGATGACCCAAACAAATGGACACACATCCCATGTTCATTGATGAGTAGAATCAATATTGTGAAAATGAAAATACTGCCAAAAGCAATCCACAAATTCAATGCAATTCCCATAAAAATACCACCATCATTCATTACAGAACTAGAAAAAACAGTGCTAAAATTCATATGGAGCCAAAAATATCCCACATAGCCAAAGCAAGACTAAGCAAAAAGAACAAATCTGGAGGCAACACATTACCTGATTTCAAATTATTTTATAAGGCCATAGTCACCATAATAGCATGGTACTGGTATAAAAATAGACACATAGACCAATGAAACAGAATACAGACCCAGAAATAAGCCCAAATATTTACAGCCAATTGGTCTTTGACAAAGCAAACAAAAACATAAGGTGGGAAAAAGACACCCTATTCAACAAATGGTGCTGGGATAATTGGCAAGCCCCATCTAAAATAATGAAACTTGATTGTCATCTCTCATTTTACACAAAAATCAACTCAAGATGGATCAAATACTTAAATCTAAGACCTGAAACCATAAAAATTGTAGAAGATAACATCGGAAAAACCCTTCTAGACATTGGCTTAGGCAAAGATTTTATGACCAAGAACCCTAAAGCGAAAGCAACAAAAACAAAGATAAATAAGGAAGACTTAACTAAACTGAAGAGCTTTTGCACAGCAAAAGGAACAGTCAGCAGAATAAACAGACAACCCACAGACTGGGAAAAAAATCTTCACAATCTATACATGCAACAAAGGACTGATGTCCAGAATCTACAAGAACTCAAAGAAATTTGCAAGAAAAAAGCAGCAATCCCATCAAAAAGTAGGCTAAGGACATGAATAGTTAATTGCCGAAAGAAGATACACAAATTGTCAACAAACATGTGAAAAAATGCTCAACATCACTAATGATCAGGGAAATGCAAATTAAAACCACAATGTGATACTACCTTACTGCTGCAAGAATGGCCATAATAAAAAAATTAAAAAATAATAGATGTTGGCAAGCATGTGGTGAAAAGGGGAAACTTCTGCACTGATGGTGGGAATGTAAACTACTACAACCACTGTGGAAAACAGTGTAGAGATTCCTTAAAGAACTAAAAGTAGAACTACCATTTGATCCAGCAATCCCACTACTGAGTGTCTACCCAGAGAAAAAGAAGCCATTATACAAAAAGGATGCTTGCACACGCATGTTTATAGCAGCACAATTTGCAATTGCAAAAATGTAGAACCAGCCCAAATGCCCAACAATCAATGAGTGGATGAAGAAACTGTGGAATATATATATTATATATAATATATAATATATAATATATAATATATTATATATTATATATTATATATAACATATTATATATTATATATTATATATAACATATTATATATTATATATTATATATAACATATTATATATATAATATATATTATATATACGTATATATTATATATGTGTATATATATAATATATATTATATATACGTATATGTTATATATGTGTATATATATAATATATATATATAAATGGAACACCACGCAGCCATAAAAAGGAATGAATTAATGGTATTCATAGCAATATGGATGGAATTGGAGACTATTATTCTAAGTGAAGTGACTCAGGGATGGAAAAACAAACATTGTACGTTCTTACTCATAAGTGGGAGCTAAACTATGAGGATGTAGAGGTATAAGAATGATATAACGGACTTTGGGGACACAGGGGGAAAGGGTGGGAGAGGGGTAAGAGATAAGACTATAAATTGGGTTCAGTGTGTACTGCTTGGGTGATGAGTGCACCAAAATCTCACAAATCACCACTAAAGAACTTACTCATGTAACCAAATACCATCTGTTCCCCCAAAAGTTATGAAAATTAAAAAAAAATTACTAATTAGCTGATAGGGAAATTATCCTGGATTTTCAATGTATGTAACTACCCAACATAATTACAAAGATCCTTAAATGTAGAAGAGGGAGTCAGAAGAGAAAGCTGGAGTTATGTGGTGCGCAAAAGACTAAACACATCAATATCGGCTTTGAAAATGCAGGAAATGTGCCATGAGCTAAGAAATGTGAGCAGCTTCCAGATGCTAGAAAGATATTTTTCTCTAGAGCCTCTAAAAAGGAATACAACACTGCCTGGATGTTTACTTTTACCCAGTGAGACCCATACCAGACTTGTGAGCTCCAGAATTTTAAGAAAAGTTGTTATTTTAAGCCATTTAGTTTGTAGTAATGTCTTATAGCTACAAAAGAAAACTAATACACATGGTAATGTTTAGCTCTTATAGAAACTCCACGAGCATGCTAACCAAAAGTATTTCTTTTCTCTACATATTTTTATTATTTATGTATGAAAAGTTGCCCAAATTCCATTTATCTTCATAGTATCTTGTGGAGTTTTCTTTTGTAGAGATACTGTAACTTTGGGGTTAGACATTTGTATTTTAATTCTAGCTTTGCCATGTACTAATTGTGTAACATTAAACAAGCTAAAGTAAATGTCTACATCTCAGTTTTTCCAGTTGGGAAATGGAAATAATTATACAGTCCCCAAAGCATTTGGAGGATAACTATATAAGATAATGTATGCAAACTGTTTAATATTATATATGGTCAGAGACGTTAAATTAGTGGTTGTTACTATCCTTTTTTATATAGTTAGTTTATCTTTCTTTAGATAATCTTCAACTATATTTCAAATTTCTGGTGTTTAGCATTGAGTTTTATACAATTTTTTGTATTCCTCATAATTCTAAATATTTTGCTCTTCACTTAGAAGTATTACTTTTTATTTTTTTCTTAAATAAATATAAGCAAAATAGGCTCAAATTGATGAGCTTTATATACATTCATGGCACAGAGTCAAGATATAGGATTATAAACCCTCTTAGAAAAATTTTCTGTAATATAATATATATTTGAAAGAAATAGCTGTGAGAATTCAGCTACCCTACATAGTCATGCAAAGCAGACATACTGGCTTGCAGCCAGGTAGACCAAAATAACTATACTCTCAAACCTAATAACAACTGCCTGCATTCTTTACTAGAAATTCCTAAAGTGAAACAAAAAAAGTGTCAAACTATCATTTTATTTAGTGTTCTCCTTATGCAAAAACCAAATTCAAAGAAAAAGATAAATGTATAAATATATGTGAAGATTACCACACTGATATAAAAACATGTTAAAGTAAAAATTAATGTGCTTTGTATTACATAGTCTTGCAATCATGAGTATTATGTATCATCAAACATAAGGCCATTTTACTAGGCAGTAATACCACAAGCAGAGAAAGCTCATATAAAAGAAAGCAGGAAAGTGGTGAAGACACATTCGACTATATCTACTTACTGATTTATCATCATATAGAAAAATTCTTGAAGGGTGAATATTCCGGATACAGTCATGCACCACCTAACAATATTTTGTTCAGACTACATATACCCCATAAGATTATAATACTGTATATTTACTGTAGCTTGTCTATGTTTAGTTACACAAATACCATTGTGTTACAATTGCCCAGAGTATGTAGTACAGTAACATGATGCACAGGTTTGTAACTTAGGAGCAACAGGCTATATCATATAGCCCAGGTGTGTAGTAGGCTATACCATCTGGGTTTGTGTAAGTACACTCTGTGATGTTTGTACAGTAACAAAATTGCCTAATGACACATTTCTCAGAACATATCCTCATTGCTAAGCAATGCTTCACTGTAGAAATTTTCTAAGGCATTATTTTGCAACAAACTAGATTTGCTTATGTATGAATTACCCTATTAATATTTTTTGAAAGAAAATATTGGAGATGAATACATTTATGACACAGATCAAAGTGATGGTTTCACAGTTGTATACTTATATTCAAACATGTTAAGTTCTATACCTTAAATATGTACAGTGCTGCGGTCTGAATGTTTGTGTTTCTCCCCCTGCCCCAAATTTATATGTTAAAACTAAATCTTCAACGTAATGACACGTGGAAGTGGGGCCTTTGGGAGGTGATTGGCACATAAGGATGCAATCCACATCAATGGGTTTAGTGCTCTTATGAAAGAGGCCTCAGAGAGCTGCCCCGCCCCTTCCATCACATAAGCACACAGAGAGCAGGTAGCACACATGAACCAGAAAGCAGCCTTCACCAGACACCAAAGGTACCAGCGCCTTGATCTTGACTTCCCAGACTCTAGAAATCTAAGGAATAAATTTCTGTTCATTATAGGCTACCCAGTTTATGACATTTTGTTATAACAGTGCTAACAGTCCAAGACATACAAGGTTTTGTATGTTAATTATACCTTAATAACGTGATTTTTAAAAATAATTTCTTTTTGGGTCATATATTTCATCATAAATGTAACCTTTAGAAAGCATAGGTGGAAGTAGAATATTTTTGTATGTTACATGTAAATGTATTGGTGTGTAGTTGAAAAGTCTCCTCCAGGAGAAAGGTTCTTCTTGAGGAGTTGGGCTGATGATGAGGGAGGCAGGAAGCCAAGTAATGTGCCTCAAGCATATTATTAAGTTGTCCATAACAAGTCATGTCCACTATGAAATTTATAGAAGCTAGAAGCATGGCTAATCAAGAATCTAAGTGAATAGATGAAGAGGTGTATTTAACTGGAGAGCTAGAGACATCAGCGAATCATTGCTGATAGGTGGGATATTGGAGTTCAATCTTTAAGAACGGATAGTTGTCACACAACAAGGGCAGGGAAAGAAGTGGCAAGAAACAAAGTAATATGAGGGAATTATATCCAGTTGTTATGGCTCATGCTTATGGAAAAGTGCATATATATAAAACAAGAGAGGAGATAAAAGCTACTAGCTTTGGGCCAGTACAAAATGCTGAGGAATTTATTAAGTTTATAGAGTTGTTTGGATATTTTTATACCATATTTTTCTTTATCAATTTACCTCTTGACGGACACTTAGGTTAATTCCATATTGTGGCTATTGTGAATAATGCTGAAATAAATGTAAAAGTGAAAACATCTCTTCTACATAATATTTTCACTTCCATTGGATATATACTCTGCAGTGGGATTGCTCAATCATATAGTAGTTCTATTTTTTTATTTTTTTGAGATCAATCATACTGTTTTGCATAATGCCTGTAGTAATTTACATTCCCAAGAAGAGTGCAAATGTTCTTGTGTCTCCACATTCTCACCAACACTAATTTTTCATCTTTTCGATACTAACCATTCTAATGTGTGTGGTGATATCTCTTTGTTGTTTGAATTTGTATTTCCCTGACAATGAGGGCTGTTAAACACTTGTTCATACATCTATTGACCATTGTATGTCTTCTTTGGAGAAATATCTATCAGGTCCTTCGTTCATTTTTAATTGGGCTATTTATTTTCTTACTATTGAGTTCTTTGAGTTCCTTATATATTTTAGATATTAACTCTTTGTCAGAAAGGTGGTTTACAAATATTTTTCTCCTATTTACTCTGTTGATTGTTCCCTTTGCTTTGCAGAATGTTTTTACTCTGATGCAACCTCATTTGTCTATTTTTGCCTGTTTTTGGGGTTTCATCCCAAAAGTTATTACATAGACCAATGTCATGAAGTATTGTTTTCTTTTAGTAGTTTTACAGTTTTAGGTCTTAAGTTTTTAAGTCTTTAATCCATTTTGAGTTTATTTTTGTATGTGGTGTGAGATAAACGTCTAATTTCATTCCCTTGTGTGTAGATAAATGGTTTTTCTAACACCATTTTATAAGACTGTCCTTTCTCCATTATGTGTTCTTGACATCTTGTTGAAAATCAATTGATAATAAATGTGTGAATTTATTTCTGTATTCTCTATTCTGTTCCATTGGTTGATGCATCTGTTTTTTATTCTAGTAGCATGCTGTTTTGATTATTTTGGATTTGTAGTGTATTTTAAACTTAGGTGGTATGATGCCTCTGGCTTTTTTCTTTATGCTCAAGATTGCTTTAAGTATTCAGAATCTTTTATGCTTACATGTTAATTTTAAGCATGTTTTCTCAACTTCTATGAAAACTATCACAGGAATTATGATAGAGATTACATTGACTCTGTAGATCACTTTGGGTAGTATGGACATTTAAAAATGTTAATTTTTCCAAATGAACATTAAATATTATAGTTTTATTTACTTTTGTCATGAAATATAATTTCATGTACTTGTGCCTTCTTCAATTATAATTAGAAAAGTGACCTGATCAGGTTTGTCAACATATCTGTATTTCCTCCCAGGACAAGACTAAATTTTTTTAGGTAGACCAGAGAAACAATGGCATCATGCATAGGAGAAATAATTTGTGTTTGCATCTGCAGGTAGATTAAGTTGCTCCTTAAAAAAATTAGAACCTTGGGGTTCCATGAAAATCTTTTAATAAAAGAACTATTTCAGTTTCAGAAAAGCCTTCTAAACTGATGTGTCATATTATGTTCCAGTTTCAACTATGGCTAAAACTTTCTCCTGAGTAAGAATAGTTGGAGGGACTCTGGAAAAAAAAATATTATTGTCAGTCATAATGAGGACCTAACTTACTATGTAATTAAATAAAATATTATGCCATTTTCATCTTGAAAAATTTCTTATTACTTTGAGTTACTTATTGAGCAATTAGCTGCCAATGAAAAATGTACACAGTATGGACTGCTAACACTAGAGGAAAAACAACAATAAAAAACTCTTGAATATTACAAATGTGATGAAAAATGTACAAATAGTTTTTGGTGTAAGCAGATCAACACTCCCTATAACTGTGTTGATAAAATATTAGATTGGAATGTCATATTAGACTTTATATGAAAAGCAAGACAATCCAACTTTACACAATCCTGTGATATATCAAAAGGATTATTTAACTGAAATTTTCACAAAAAATCATATAAAATAAAAGATATAATTTAATATGTTGGTGCATTATAAACAAAAGAGGATTTAAGTGTCTTTCATTATAACCTGATCCAAGGTAGGCTCTTAACAAATAACACCTTCATAATGCAAGCCTTTGTTGCTTCTCTGTCATGAGGAACACATCTACTAAATCTGTAATTCATCCTGGCTTCCATGGCTCTCCCTGTTATTATAGCCAAAATTGGAAATATCTATCCTTTAGATTTCTATTATTTGACCTATTAAGGAATTTATTTCTTATATCCCAATGAATCAAGTAAAATACTCCACTTTCCACAGTGACAGCTTTTATAAATTAGCAATTTTCTGTATAAAAATGAACGCTAATAGATTAATATAGCCTCTATAATGTAAAATTTGGGTCCACCATTTCTGGGTTCAAAATTTGGCATCGTAATTATTTGCTGTTAACCTTTGGCAAGTTGTTTAAGCTTATTGATATTGTCAATAAAAATAACAATATCTAACATGAGATATTTGGGAGGACTGCACAACCCTGTAATACTCTGGAAACAGTGTAATGCACATAGATGTAAACATTATCATAATTATCATCATCATTTATAAAGTATTTATCATGTATTGACAAACGTCTTCCTCCTCTTATTCAATGTCCTGAAGATAAAACAATAAACAGAAATAGATAAAACTACTTTCTTCATAAAACCTATATTTTACTAAGGAGGGAAAAAAGACAAAAAAAGAGAGCTATAATAAAATAAATACTATGTAAGCAAGTTAAAGGTACTCTGGAAAAAAATTAGTAGGAAACAAAGTAGGGATGTATGCATGTATGTATGGGTGCAATTCTAAATAGGGCAGCCCCACTGAAGTGACATTTAGAAAAAGATAAAACACAAATGAGTTAGCAAGCTATTATTGTTTGGCTCTGTGTCCCCACTGAAATCTCATGTGGAATTATAATCCCCATGTGTCAGGGGAGGTGCCTGGTGTGAGGTGATTAGATCATGGGGGTGGATTTCCCCTTGCTGTTCTCATGATAGTAAATTCTCACAAGATCTGATGGTTTAAATGTGTGTGGCATTTCTCCCTTTTCTCTCTCTCTTCTGTCACCATATAAGACGTGTCTTGCTTCCCTTTTGACTATGCTATGATTATAAATTTCCTGATGTCTCCTCAGACATGCAGAGCTGTAAGTCAATTAAACCTCTTTTCTTTATAAATTACTCAGTATCAGATAGTTATTTATAGCAGTGTGTAAATGAACTTATACAAAAAAATTGGTACCAAGATTTTGGGGCACTGTTGTGAAGATACCTGAAAATGTGGAAGCAACTCTGGAACTCGGCAATGGGCAGATGTTGGAACAGTATGGAGGACTCAGAAGAACACAGAAAGATGTGGGAAAGTTTGAAACTTCCTACAGTCTTGTTGAATGGTTTTGACTAAAATGCAATATGAACAGAGAAGTCCAAGCTGAGGTGGTCTCAGATGGAGATGAGGAACTTATTTGGACTGAAGTAAAAGTCACTCTTGCTATGCTTTACAAAAGAGACTGGTGGCATTTTGCCCCCACCCTAGAGATCTGTGGAACTTTGAACTTCAGAGAGATAATTTAGGATATCTGACAGAAGAAATTCCTAAGCAACAAAGCATTCAAGATGTAACCTGGCTGTTTCTAAAAGTGTATGCTCATATGAGTGAAGAAAGAGATGGTCTGAAATTGGAACTTACATTTAAAAGGGAAGCAGAGCATAGACGTTTGAAAAATTTGAAGCCTGGACATGTGGTATGAAAGAAAAAAAAACCATTTTCCTGGGAGAAATTCAAGTTGGCTGCAGAAATTTACATAAGTAACGAGGAACCAAATGTTAATAGCCAAGACAATGGGGAAAACGTCTCTAGAGCATTTCGGAGATCTTCATGGCAGCCCCTCCCATTACAGGCCTGGAGTCCTAGGAGAGAAAAATGGTTTCCTGGGTCAATCCCAGAGCCCCAGTGTTCTGTGCAGCCTCTGGATGTGGCATTCTGCATCCCAGCCACTCCAGCTCCAGTTGTGCCTAAAAGGAACCAAGGTACATCTCAGACCATAGCTTCAGAGGTTGCAAGTCCCAAGCCTTGGCCGCTACCACATTGTCTTGGGCCTGCAGGTGCACAGAGGCAAGAACTGAGATTTGGGCACCTCCAGCTAGACTTCAGAGGACGTATGGAAATGTCTGATGTCCAGGCAGAAGTCTGCTGCAAAGGTGGAGTCCTCATGGATAATCTCTACTAGGGCTATGCAAAGGGGAAATGTGGAGTTGGAGCTCCCACACAGAGATCCCACTGATGCACTACCTAGTGGAGTTGTGAGAAGAGGGCCACCATCTTCCAGACCACAGAATGGTAGATCTGCCAACAGCTTGCGCCATGCGCCTGGAAAAGCCACAGGCACTCAACACTGGCCCATGAAAGAAGCCACAGAGTCTGTACCCTGCAGAGTCACAAGGGCAGAGCTGTCCATGGCCTTGGGAGCTTACCTCTTACATAAGTGTGCCCTGGATGTGAGACATGGAGTCAAAGGAGCTTTATTTTAGAAGTGTAAGATTTAATGACTGCCCTGCTGTGTTTTGAACTTCCATAGGGCCTGTAGCACCTCTGTTTTGGCCAATTTCTCCCTTTGGGAATGGGAGCATTTACCAAGATACCATTGTATCTTGGAAGTAACTCACTCGTTTTTTATTTTACAGGTTCATAGGCAGAAGGGACTTACCTTGTCTCTGATGAGACTTTGGACTGTTGACTTTTGAGTTAATGCTAGAATGAGTTAAGACTTTGGGGGACTGTTGGGAAGACATGACTGGTTTTGAAATGTGAAAAGAACATGAGCTCTGGGAGAGGTCAGGGTCAGAATGCTATGGCTTGGCTCTGTGTCCCTACCCAAATCTCATGTTGAATTGTAATCCCCACATCAGGGGAGGGGTTTGGTGGGAGGTGATTGTATCACGGGGGCAGTTTTCACCCTTGCTGTTCTCATGATAGCAAGTTCTCATGAGATCTGAGGTTCAAACATGTATGGCACTTCACACTTCACTCTGTCTCTACTGCCACCATGTAAGATATGACTTGCTTCCCCTTTGCCAACTGCCATTATTGTAAGTTTCCTGAGGCCTTTTCAGCCATGTGGAACTGTGAGTCAATTAAACCTCTTTTCTTTATAAATTAACCAATCTCAGGTAGCTCTTTATAGCAGTGTCAAAATGGATTAATATGCAAGCCAACAATATTAGTCTGTCCTCATGCTGCTAATAAAGGAATACCTGAGACTGGGTAATTTATAAAGGAAAGAGGTTTAATGGACTCACAGTTCCACATGGCTGGGGAGGCCTCACAATCTTGGCAGAAGAAGAAAGAAGAGAAAAGTGACATCTTATATGGCAGCAGGCAAGAGAGCATGTGCAGAGGATCTCCCAGTTATGAAACCATCAGATCTCATGAGATTTATTCACTATTATGAGAAGGGTATGGGAGAAACTGCCCCCAAGTTTCAATTATCTTCACCTGGACCTGCCCTTGACATGTGGGGATTATTACAATTCCAGGTGAGATTTGGATGGGGACACAGCCAAACCATATTACAAACTGAATATTTAGAGAGCAAGTTTTTCATTCAGAGTGATAAAACTGATCCAAGTTGAAACTTGTGGGCCTAATTTGTTCAATGAGTAAAGAAGAAGCCAGTGTGGATAGAATAGATGTAAGGAGAGAGTAGGAAAAGATAAGTTGATAGTCATTTACACAAAATTAGGTCATCTTGGACTTTGTCCTTTAATCTAAGTGGAATAGAAAGATATTGGAGTCTTCCAAGAGAGGAGTCAATTACATTGTATTTTATTTGTAAAGGATTATTCTGACTACTTATGTGGGCAATATATTATAGGGAGTAGAGGTATGTGGGGTACAAGAAGAAACAGGAAACAACTGCAATAACCAGATGAAAAATGACTGTTGCTTGGATTAGGGTAGCAAAAGTCCGTGATGAGAAGTAGTCACATTCTGGATATGTGATGACAGTGGAACTGAGAGGAATTGCTGAGGTATGTTGCATGGGAGAGAAAGAAGGGTATAAGGATTTAGGCCTACAGAACTGGAAGAAATGAGCTCAAATTTACTGAGATATGAAAGACAGATGAGTAGGCTTGAGGCTGGAGGAAAAGAAGAATTTAATTCAGATAGCTAATGATATATAATGCTTAGACACCCAAAGGACAATGTCATACTAAGAAGTGAAGTCATGAGACTAAATGAGATAGCATGAGAGAGAAGAGGAAAAAATGATAAGTAATGAAGACTGAATTCTGAAGCACTTAACCTATTTCCCATTTGGCCCAAGGATACTCACTGGTGGTTCTGGTGGCTTCAGCATTTACCCTGAGATGGAATGGAGTGACAAGAAGGAGGTGACAATGCTGTCATCACTGCACAATAATACTTTGATTGAAGTAGACAACAGAAATGGAAGGAAAACTAAGGAGCCATGTCTCATTGTGTATTATAACGAGAATCTGGGAGCACTGGACTCGGCTGAGCAGATGCTCACTTCTTATGCACCTGAACACAAAAGGCACAAGGTTTAGTAGAAGAAATTATTTCACCACCTTCTAAACATTACAGTTCTGAACTCCTACATCCTATTCAAGAAGGACAATCCTGAGCACATGATTAGCCATGTAAACTTCAGACTGCCATTGATGGAAAGAGTGCTAGAAAAGCACCACAAGCCAGGGCAGCAATGTCTTCCAGGGTGTCTGTGCTCTGATGATGCCACACCTCTTCACTTGCCTGGAAGACATTTCCCCAAGAGCACACCACCAACATCAGGGAAACAGAATCCAACTGGTCATTCCAAAGTTTGCTGCTTTCACAACAACAAGGATCACAACAAGATCCGGAGAGAAACGTGATATTTTTTGTCGGAATGTTGTGATGTTCCTGTTTGTGTTGTTCCTTGCTTTGAAAGTTTAACACACACAAAAGAAATTTCAATACTGATCATCATATACATTTACATTACATTAGAATTAGAGACAAGTTCTGGTTAGAAATAACTCCAATAACATTTTTTTTTTGTATTTTATTTTCACATTCAAAGTCAGTCAGATTTGCTTCAGCCTCAAAAAGCGTGTTTATGTAAAATTAAATGAGTGCTGGCAGTGAGCTGCACTTTTTTTTCTAAGTGGGAAATTTTAAATGATTAGCATTTTTTGCCATTAGAAGGAAGCAACAAAGGAAACAGAAGTAGGCAGTGAGGAAGCACTGAAATGGAGTATAAGCTGTCCTGAAAGTCAAGTGAAAAATGTATTTTAGGGAGGAGAGAGTAATCAGTTGTATCAAATGTTATTGCTAGTTAAAACAGAATAAGGACTACATGATCACCGGATGAACCCACTGGACATAATCAGTGTTCACTACATTTTTTTTTCCCAAGACGGAGTCTCACTCTGTCGCCAGGCTGGGGTGCAGCGGCCTGATCCCCTCGGCTCACTGAAACCTCTGCCTCCCGGGTTCAATTGATTCTCCTGCCTCAGCCTCCCGAGTAGCTGGGATTACAGGCCTGTGCCACCATGCCCAGCTAATTTTTGTATTTTTAGTAGAGATAGGGTTTCACCATGTTGGCCAGTATGGTCTCAATCTCTTGACCTCATGATCCACCCACCATGGCCTCCCAAAATGCTGGGATTACAGGTGTGAGACATCGCGCCAGCTTTCAAAGTAAATTAGTGACCTCAATTCAGCAGTTTTGTCGGAATAGTAGGCGTGAAAGTCAGATTGAAATGGGTTCAAGAGGAAATGAGAAGGCAGGAAGTGGAACATCAATGCTTGCTATAAAGAGAAAAGCAGCAGGAGTAACAGGGCAGTAGCTTGAAGGCACTGTGAAATTAAGAATTATAATGATTTTAAAAAGGATGAATAACAGTATGATTGTCAGCTGAGGAGAGTAATTCAGTAGAGAAGGAAAAATTGATTAGGAGAGAAGGGAGGGATGGCCTTTATAGGGGCTAGCATAGGAAGTAGTGCTCTGGTGGAGAGGTTGACCTTAAATAAGATCGAGCTTATTCTATGTATGGGGACAGCACACTGAGACAGTGAATCGCATAGATAAAACTAAGTGGATAAATGCAGGAGTTGAAGCATGTTGATGTTTTCTTCTAAATTCTCCTGTTTTCTTACTGAAGTAGGAAGCAAAGTCATTAGCTATGAGTGATGATGTGGAAAAGAGATGTGCGAGGTTGGAAGAAAGAAGCATTGTAGAGCATCGCTAAGAATGCCTGGCATAAATGTGGTATATCATCACCATCTTATTATTATTGTTGTTGCTGTTATTACTAGAACCACTATGTCTGCAAATATGTATTTTTAAACTAAACTACCTGAAAACAGTATTTCAGCTACAAATAATGACTTTAATAACAGTAATTCCAGATACGATGGCAAATATTAGTGGGGGAGATATTTAGAGGACATTTGGACCTTACTGCATTTCTGAAATTGTGCCTACTCACAATTTCTGAGAAGACATACTTCTCTTCCTATTTTTTGTTAGCCTACTATTGCTATTGTTTTCAGCTGCTCAAAACCTACCTTGGACGCCTTGAACTGTTTCTACAGGAATAAGTCCTACATTTACATCCTACTTGGAGGCAACATCCTCATAATTGAAAACAAATTCAAAAATAAATCCAAATTGTGATTTCTTAAAAAGGATGTGTGCTACTCTGAAAGAAGTTGGAAAAGCAATTACTATAACATAAATTATATTTATGTTTTCTGTTAGTACCAACTCTATTTACAAAGTGTTATATTCACTTTAAATAAAAACTTAGAAATGTGTACTTACACATGCAAATATAACCATATTTTTATTTAATAGCTTAAAATGCACTTGATTTTCCTGTGCTTGTGTAGAATATCAGTCACGTATTTTTCCTTTTTTGCCAAGAAAGGTTAGAAAACAATTTTCTTCAGCTTCCACAGTTCTTTTTTTTTCTGGAAGTAATTTGTGTGTTTGTCTAGAGGGCAAAAACTCCATAGACAATTGGGTCAGTGAATAGATCTGAGTAAATTTAGTTTTTAAAATAACCCTGGTCCCTGGGTTTTAGTTGTTCAACCACTTTCCACTTTCTCTCATGTTTAGGTTGATGTAGGTGGGAGTTACTCATATCTATTTCTTAATCCCTCTTATTTTATTGCACAAATAATATGGAGAACTTTATTATTTAAATTTACTATTTTAAAAACTTACCTCTTAAAAGTACTGAGAAAGAAATAAGTTGTTGGCTAATATTTTTTAATCCTGTGGTTTTGAATTAATATAGGAGTATACAACTTTATCTCCTATTGTCCTTCACATAAATGTTTGTGTTTCAATATTCTCTATTCCCGCCTAAAATCCCTGCAGAACATGCACACCGCCCCTCAGTTTGAAGGTGGAGGCTATGAGAGCCTCCCACTCATTGGAAATACTTCTACAGAGTGCTTCCTATGGAGTTTAACAAATTTTCACACACGGATATTCTTGTGTATTATCATCAATAGACAATATTTAGACTGCTGTCACTCTAAGTCTCTTACTCAATAATGTGGATCTTTGGCATAGGTGAAGTGAATAGCATTTTTTTCATGGCCACAAAGGGTGCTAAACATATGAAAAAGATAGAAAAGTGACAAAATTTGTAGGTTCAAGAGAAGGTAACAAAATTTTTTTAAAAGTGTACTGGACAGTATTGCTATGAGGCTGACGGCCAAAGAAATTTACGGTCACGTTACACAGAGTTAAGGAAATGTTAAATTTTTTTGGCTAGTATCAGCTAGCTATCATATCTCAAATGGTGATACGGCATGAACAATGCCAAACTTTCAGATGGGACAGGTTCGGTAGATCAAGAGACTGCAGAAGTATTTTTAAATACCTGCTAAATGTTATAGAGAAAAAAGGTTATGTGTAAGAGCGGATTTTCAACATTAGTGAGTCTGGATTGTTTTACAACAATGTTGCAAATGAACCTATATTTCAGTTGATAAAAATGTTGAGACCAGAGGCTAACAGAAACCTAATTCTGTGTTTTCCTTAGCAAAGTTCAGTATTCACTAATTGAGTGTTTGCAGTGACCTTATAAATGTAAAACTCTGCTGAAAGAGTGAGTGTTTCATTCTGTCTGGGATAGTATCAGTGATGATACTGAGAAGTTTTATTCCAGTGTACACAGCATTAATGGATTTCATTTACTTTATTGTTTTGCAACATGTCAACTTGTCTAGGCTGAACTAAAACCCATGAAATTCCCTTTCTAGGGTGTCCCCAGTTAGCATGGGAAGCAAGAGAGATTCTTCCAAGAGTTGAAAGGCTGAAGGAATCCATCAGCCATTTTATATCATACACATATCTTCCCCAGTTAGTCAATCAAACTTTAGGTGCTACTGGGAAAAGACTTCACAGATGTAATTAAATTACCAAATCCATTGATTTTAGTTAATCAAAAGGGAGATTATCCTGTGCTGGCTGGCTTAAAGCTCTTTAAAGGGGGACTAAAATTAGAGTGTCCACACAACAGAAAGAAAGAAGACTGTAAAACATTTCTACATTCTGGTACCTCATCCATCACTTAATTTTTGCTGATCTTCTGACTCACATCATTGAACCGCATTAAGCAGCAGCTGGCCTTGCAGTTGTTTTTCTTTCCTTTACATCTTCCCTTTCTGACCACCTGCCTCAGAACTTTGGGCTTGCTTTTCCAGCCATCACAATTGTATAAGATAATTTCTGTAATAAAATCATCTATCATCTATCTATTTCTCTATCTACCCTATTCCTCTATCATTCTATCTTATATACAACTCAATCTATATCTGTATTTATAATCTCCCAATAATTTTGCTTTCTCTAAAGACTTAATAACATAGTTTTCAACCAAATATTTCTTTCCCTATTTCTCCATGTTCTTGCCTGTAATGCCTAGTTTCCGTCAATGTCCTTGTTCTCTAAACATCTTGATAAAAAATCTAATTGTTTCTTTCCCTCCTTCCTTCTTTCTCTTTTCTTCTTTCCTTTCTTCCCTCCTTCCTTGCCTCCTTCTTTCCCTCCTGCCTGCTTTCTCCTTTCCTCCCTTTTTCTTTTATGTTCTACAATATCTTTCTTGCCAACCAATCTTTCTTATTCTCAGAATGACATATCTTAAATAATCTTTCAGATAACAACTCTTTGGCTCAGCAACTGCAAGGCAAAGAAAGCAAAATGACTTAATCTTAAATATGTATAAGATATTTGTAGGAAAACAGAGGGGCTGAAGAGAATAGTTAAGATGGCATTTCAGATATTTTCTAAATCATAAAAGCATAAAATATAGCATAATGCATTTGAGAGTAACAGATAACTGTTGTGGATAGAACAAATAAATCTGTTAAAGACAATGGAAAAATATGAAGCTGAAAAATAGAGGGCACATCAAGAAAGACTTTGGATACCAGATATGAAAGGGACATTTGACAATCTCTTTTTATTTTACTCTTCACAGCTGTTTAAGGAGATTTAGAAAGCCTCTTCCTGGTAACCTGAAATTGAGTTTATTTCAAATAATTTTATGCATTAGTGAAAAAAGTCACATATATTACATGTAATATATGTAAACCAAAACTAAAATTGTAAGCCTCACATACCATCTGAATGGACTCCTCCTCTCAGCCAAGGGCATTCCAAAGTTAACCTGAAAAACTAGTTCAGGCCATGATGGAAAGTGTAGGTTGAACATACCTCATTATTCCCTCCTCCCTTTGGGAATTTGGGCACAGATGACCAACATTAACATTAAAACAGATTTCAAGACTGACAAAGAAGAACTTTTGTAGCAATAAGATATCAGATTCCAGCCTGACTCTAGAATAGCATCACATGACAGATAGCAGACCCGGAAAGAAATCAAAGTATTTTACCCCAAATTATCTTCTTTGCCATATCTGGAAATAGTCCTACAAAGCTGTCTCTTGTGGGGAAAGTCTACATCTGAAGAGAATCTCTTTCATTTTCTAAGCCTTTTTCCTGATCCAGAAAGGATCAACTCTGATAAGAAACATTTACAATCTGTTCTTCCTGAAGCTTTTCAGATAGAGGCTTCCTCTGCATAATGAGAACTTTGGTCTCCACAACCTCTTATCTTAACCCAGAAATTTCCTTCTATTGATTGTGTCTGCATAATGGGAAGTCTGGTCTCTACTAACACGGACATTCCCTTCTACTGAATCTAGGTCTTTAGACAATAACTGAACTCATTCAACCACTTGCAAATCAGAAAATCTTTGAATCTACCTATGACCTGGAAGCTCCCCCACCCTGCCATTCAATTGTCCTGCCTTTCTAGACCAAACTAATGTACACTTTAAATGTACTAATTGATGTCTTTTTTATTTACTTTTATTTTTGGTTTTGTTTTTTGAGACTGAGTCTTGCTCTGTTGCTCAGGCTAGAGTGCAGTGGCGCAATCCTGGCTCACTGCAACCTCCACCTCCTGTTTCAAGCAATTCTCCTGCCTCAGCCTCCTGAGTAGCTGGGATTACAGGTGCCCACCACCACACCCATATAATTTTTGTATTTTTAGTAGAGACAGTGTTTTACCATGTTGGCCAGGCTGGTCTTGAACTCCTGACCTCAGGGGATCTGTCCCCCTTGACCTCCCAAAGTGCTGATTGATGTCTCATGTCTCCCTAAAATGTATAAAACCAAGCTACAGCCCGATCACCTTAGGAACATATTCTCAGGAGCTCCTGGAGCTATGTCATGGGCCATTGGTTACTCATATTTGGTTCAGAATAAATCTCATAAAATATTTTATAGAATTTGAATCTTTTCGTCGACATAGATTTCACAAAAAGACAACATAAGTAGTCACTTTTAGGCTGGGCAGTTAAGGACAAGTGTTTTTCATATGCCCTTTATTCCTATTCTAGAGCAATCTTGGAGGACACCAAACATTCATATAGTGTAGCTGCAGATGGAGGAGAGTACTGACCCATGTTGGATTTCTATGAGTGAAAAATGAATGTCTTATTTGGTTAATCCCCTGAGAGCTGGGGTTAATTTGTTAATACAAGGCAACTTAGCTTACTTTGACTAATGGATCATGATAAGATGCTTGGATTTTATCATGTAAAAGATTAGCAACCATTAAAGAATGTTAAGGAGACAGGCAGCATGAGCTACAGCATAATATTTGGATCATTCCGATTTTGAATAAGTCAGTAACAGTAGTTCTATCTCTTTACCTTGCACTGATTCAAGAGTATCCTTACAGTTTAGTTCAGAACTGCTCATATGGAGAAGAATTTTCAAAGACACTAGGTTGAACATGTAGCTATCAGTTACAACATTATTATAAGGTGAGAAATGACAGTGTTTGAATGATGGCCACACAAGTGGAGATGGAAGGAACAAAACACGTTGAAAGATATGTGAGAACATAATTGAAGATCCTATCTTAATTTAAATGGCTGAGAAAATTAAGAGTAGAAGTCATCTCCCTGGTATATACAATGATCATCTACTAGCAAGGTAATTTAACCTGTTCACACCTAATGTCCTCCTCATTTTCACTATTTAACTATATATATATACATGTGTGTATATATATGAATTTTATATATATATGAATTATATATATATATATATGAACCTATATCTGTTCATAGTAATTCAAATCATACAGTATGATTTTCCAGTAGTGCTTCTCAAGCCCAGAAATGTAATGATGGGCTTTTAGGACATAAGACAAATGTCAAAGTGGTAGACCTATGGTGCCTCTACCATCTGCTTCAATCAAGTTAATACCTCCATGATATGTTTTTATATATGAACATTTCATGTAAGTTTTTCTTCCTATAACTTCTCTGTCAGTAGGGAGACTCACTTATCATTTTATAATTTTTTTTTCACTGGTGGAAACTAGAAGATATTTGCCCTGTGCTGGATAATTTTTTTTGCTTAGAAGTACTGCCAATCAAGAATCTCTAGGCTGGTCATTACTGTGTCTGCTTTTATCTCCTATTTCAGGACATTTTTCTATTCTTTTTGAGTATATCAGAATAGGAGGTTTCTATTTTTGTACTTAACTGTGTAAGTACAAAAGACTACAGTTTATCATATGTTCCAACTTGGGAAATTACAGAATTTCCCTAGGGGCTCCTCAGGACTCCATGCACAGAAAGGCCTGTCGGAATCTAACCCTAACAAAACTGAAATGCTCAGGTTCCTGGGATGAACAAGCCAACTAGGACCCCCAATAGAGGTTAACACAAACACACACACTTACAAAACAAACTGCTGTTTGGTTGAATCTTCTGTTTATAACACCGGGAACAATGTCTGTTACATAGTAGATCCTAAAGAAATATTTATTAAACCACCACTTATTTAGCCAATGTTGATTGGGAATCTTCTCTATGCTAGGCACTGTGATAGGGTGGAGATATTGAAAAGTGATGAAAATAATACAATGCTTCATCATTTTCGTGAAGACTATAATATAACTGTTACAAAATGACAAATGCTATAGAAACTCTGTCTACAGATATCATATACACTTATCTAAGCAAGAAGATATTTGAACCAAAATTTAAAGGTTGAGTAGGAGTTCACAAGATTGAAAGGCATTGAAAAAAAGGTAATCTAGGTAGATTGAACATATGTGAAAAATTGTAGGGTAACAAAAAGAAATGTTAATACTTCTGGATTAGAGATAGAGCACCGCATGTACATTTTTTGCCAGGCAGGGACACCTTATCCAACATAGTCTGTGGGATAAAGTTCTGGAAGACATTAAGTAGGTATTTGAAAAGTGTTTATATGTTTTAAAATGGAATTTCTGTCCTATATCAGGAAAGTTATCTTTTTCTTTTTCTTGTGTATAGTAGGGCACCCTAAGTCCCTCATCCTCAAGAGGTCAGAGATAAAAACTATGTCAAGGAGGGGATATCCTCAGTGTGTTAGGGGACTGATTTGGGGCAGGGACTTTGCCAGCTGTGAGCCTCTCTCTTCCTCTCATACTCATGTTGGGTCTGATTGTTCAGGGGGCTCTTATTTCATGGAGGCCAGGTAGGCCACAAGGTCCACCACCTTATTACTACAGCCAAATTCACTGTAACATCAGGAAATGAACTTAATGATATAGTTGTTGAAGAAAATGCCAGCTCAAACATTGAAGGTGTAAGAGTGGGTTTTACTTTTAAAGCTACAGGAGACAACCTGATCTTCTTCAGCTTAGCCCAGGATGCCTTCTGGGTGCCCTATAATTCATGCTTCCCCATCTTCTTGATGCTATTATATTTGGCAGCTTTTCCAGATGAAAGATCAGATCCACAACCAACACACTGGGTGTGGGGATACAGAAGTGCATGTCAGTGAGCTTTCCTTTCAGCTCAGGGTTGTCTTAGTCCACAGCCTTGGCAACAACAGTATATGCAGGAATGACGTTCTGAGCAGTCTCACAGGTGTCATGCCACCGTTTCCCAGAGTGTCTTCTGGGTGGTAGTATTGGCATGGAATGTGGTCATAAGTTCCAACATAATGCTAAAGTTGTCATGAATGAACTTGGCTAGGGGTGCTAGGCAGTTTGTGGTACAGGAGACATTGCTGAAGATCTTGAGGGAAACGCCATGTTTCTCATGGTTCACACTCATCACAAACATGGGGCATCAGCAGATGAGGCAGAGATGAGGACCGCTTTGGCTCCACCCCTCAAATGATCATCAGTCTTCTTCAAGATACTGAATACCCCAGTGAACTTCACAACATATTCAGCACCAACATCACCCTATTTGATAGTGGGATCTCACTCCTGGAAAATAGACATGGGCTTCCCTTTGATGGCAAGCTTCCTGTTCTCAGCCTTGACTGTGTCATTGAACCTGACATAGATAAAATCATACTAGAACATATAGACAATAAAGTTGAGACCAGTGAAGGAGTCATTGATGGTAACAGTATCCACTGTGATAGTGATAAAAACAGCCCTGGTGACCGGGCACCTGATATGGCCAAATCCGTTTACTCCAACCTTCACCATCGTGTCTCAGGGCTGCAGTTGGCACTACATAAGAAGTTGCCACTGTCTGTTACACAGGTATCAGCAGAAAACCAGAAAGTAAAGCCTTGAATGACACTGGTGAGCAATATTTGGACTAGTTATTAGGTTTTGTGTAAGGTTAGACTGCCTGAATTCCCTTTCCATTATGTTCATGAAGTCTCCAGTTTAGGTTCATAGTATTTACTTGCTGTAGTTGTAATTTCTTTTTTTTTTTTTTTTGTTTGAGATGGAGTCTTGCTCTGTCACCCAGGCTGGAGTGCAGTGGTACGATCTCGGCTCACTGCAAGCCCCCTCCCAGGTTCACACCATTCTCCTGCCTCAGCCTCCCGAGTAGCTGGGACTACAGGCTCCTGCCACCATGCCCAGCTAATTTTTTGTATTTTTTTTTTAGTAGAGACGGGGTTTCACAGTGTTAGCCAGGATGGTCTCGATCTCGTGACTTTGTGATCCGCCCGCCTCAGCCTCCCAAAGTGCTGGGATTACAGGCGTGATGTAGTTGTAATTTCAAGTACCCTCTTGAGGCTACTGCATCCCCAGTTGTAATGTTAGCCAAATTCTGGCCAGAAGGCAATGTCAGGGTTCTTGTGGGGCTAGGGAAGTGAGGAGGAAAATAGTTTATCCTATTTATCCTATTCAACCATACACGAATGAACGAACCTTGAGTAGCAACATTTATAATACCAGCAAAAGAACATTTACAGTGATTTCAATATTAGATGTAAAAGTATGCTGGCTTTTATTCCTAGCACTGCACTATTAGAAATAATCTGGTCAGATCTGCTCAGCACCAAAAGCACTTGATAATTCTGATTAAGAATGACCAGTTTCCAATCAGATTATTGTATTTAATGAGGCAACTCTTTTATCATGTATTTAAATAAGTCGTTTTCACTAAGCAGGAAATAAGACTTTTGGGGTATGTATGATATTTAAACTAACCTCATTAATATTACAAATCATCTCAGCTGCTCTATGACATATTTGATCTGATTTAGTATTCATAACAGTGTTATCAACTAGTATTATACCTCTATTTGAGTTACATTTTTAAAAACTGATAGAGTAAATTTACTTAGGAAATGACAAAACCAGAAATACTCCAACCTTTTATTATCAAATACAGAGTTTTATTCACTTTTCCATCAAGCCTTATCAACTGGATTGAAATTTGAAAAGTGGTCCTCAATTTAATGTTTAAAAAACTATTATATTGAAAAATATTATTCATGTTTTATTTGAAATTAATGATGCTAATTCCAATATTCAACTATCATAATAGTTTTCTCCAACTTATTTGTTTTTATAACTAGTAAGAAAGGTTATATAGGATACCATTTTGGAGCCAACATATACAATGTCCAAATAATCACATTTAAATATCTAACCTGCAATTGATTTTTTAGTAGCAATAAACAGTGACTTCTGGTAGCAATTTGTGGACTCTGTGCATAGTATTTAATAGACTTACTGCTTGAAATAAAGCAAAAGGACAGATACGACTTAAGGGAAAAAGAGAATTGAAATGGGAGATGGATTTGGCATTGTTAAGAGTCAAGACAATAAAACCTTAAAGTATAATTTAAATAACAGCTCCAGGTAGGTAAAAAAAACCTTCAACCTAGTAATCAAATAACTGCTATGATTGTTACTGAGCCTGACAGAATAATTCCCTTCTTAGTCATGAAATACAAGCTTTAACATTTAGTCTTAGGCCCAGAATTGAAAGTAAACATTCTTATGAGCAAATCACAATTAATACGAAGTATTTGCAAACAATGTGTACTCCGTGAAAACAACTATAGATGTTCACATCGTGGTTGAGCTCACATAGATTTCTTCTCTGTACACTTCCCATGCTTCTACCCAGGCAGGGACGCAATTAGCATATGCCTTCCTTCAACTGAAGAAACATTTTAAAGACCCATTAATTATTGTTAAATTTTTCATTATTCTTAAACTCGCTGATATGGAGAGACTGGAAGTGAAACTAAAATTTCCAAGGTTGAAAGCCATGACTATTTTATTATTTCTGTAGCTTTGTCAGAATTTTAAGAAAAAGTTGAGCCAATTCTGTAACGCATATTTGTGTATTCATAGAAAAGGTTATTTCAATCTTATTTTCACAGTTAAGTTTTATGACTTCTTTTAATTTTGTTTTGTTAATAAAATTTTTATTCTTTGGATAGTTAAGAAAGTTACAAATTTTTGTTATTCATCATAATGCCTTTGTTGGTTTTGTAAAACCTGGGTATTAGATACACCAATATTTTAGTCAATTTCATAATTGTTTACCAATTTTTTATAAGCCTACAGCACCCAGTCTCCCATCCAAGTACTAACCAGGCCAGACTCTCCTTAACTTCTGAGTTCAGATGAGACTGGGCACATTCAGAGTGGTATGGTCATAGACAGTAAATTATTCACTTTTAAATGATCATTGATTCATATTTAGAAAACACTCAATTTTGATATTTCAAATAGTAATCAAATATTACATGTGTTTTTATAATTACTTCATATTGACAATGTTGAAATTTACTTGAGCCCTCTCCTCCTGAAAACAATAGTGATTCAGAAACTCCCACCCTTTTGAGTTCCAGGATATAGTTTACTAAAAAGAATGGCCCTTCTCCATATGACTTAACTAAGGCTTGTGGATGATACCCTTGTTTACCTGTGTAAAGGCCAGACATAGACCCTTCAAATTCCCATTATTTGGCTCATTAATATTTAGCTGAGCTGTTTGTCCCCTAGCCAATCTGCAAAGAATGCCCTCTAACTTGACTGAAGTTTAGTTAGGCTTCTCTCCTTGACTGGAGACCTTGGAACCTTGACTCTCTCCTGAGATTAAACAAGCTCTGAAACACAGAAAAACTCCATAATGGCTCCACCTGAGAGTCATATGTCTGCAGAGAAAAACCTTCCTTAATCAAAACTCACACCATCTGCTCTTCCATTCCCCCATACCTGGTCTTTCTAGCATCAACTATTCCTCCCTATAAAAGGAAAGCCCCTTCTTTCTGACCTGCAAGGTACTTGTAGCTCTAATGGTCAGAGTATTTCCCCTGTGGTAGTAGTCTTTGGAATGAAGTCTTTCTTTTTTTTTTTTTCTTTAACCTAAGCCTGAGTTTGTTTCGTTTGACAGTTTTCTGGTATTGTGACTTGGGTGGAGTGCTGACTTCCTGGGATCCCACTTTCTTCTCCTAGGTATTTGTGCCAGCTTCTTGGATCTTTTGTATTTTTACCTGGCTAGGGAAATCAGGGTCCCTGGTGGTGAGTCTCACCTCCTAATCCAGTACTGCAGTTGTACTTACTGTAGAAGCTCAGTAAGGAGTTGATGTTACTTTTTTCAGGCAGAGAGTTTTCTTTGACCCTCCTGTGAGACCTTTTATGTCTTTCCTTTGTTCCTATAGTGAGGATTGAGCAAGGTTATTTCCTTGGCTCTTCTAGTGAGGATTGCACTGGGGAATGGGAGTTGAGCTTTGGCTGCTAGGATGGGGACCCTGCAAGGGAATATTTCAGTGGTACTTTTTCCCAGTTTTTAAAGATCTTATCTCTTATTTAATTATCTTAATCCCATGGGTAATTTTTAATCAATTGGCACCATCTCTCTTCTTCTGCAACAAGTTATGTGCTTCACTAGTAAGGCACTGATTCAGTTCAATATATTCAAAAATGCAATATTTCATTAAAAAAAAAAACTTAGGACTTCAATGACCTCTTGGGAAACGGGATCATGCCACACTGGCTCCTCTAAGACTTCCCTCTTATAATCACCCTTACTTCCCCTTTCTTCTCTTTACCACTTTGGACCTCTGTTTACCTCCCTTGAATCCTTGATCTGACTCCTTGAACACCCTACCTTCTCCACTTCTCTATCCAAACTTCCCAGACCTGTGATCTCCCATTCTGGCCCATCACGTCATCTCTATGGCCACTCAAGCTTCAGGCTCCCTCCCCACCCTGGCCTCATGAGGAGGTCAGGAACCCTGAGATGGACCCCCTGAGACTTAAAGGGCTAATTGGAGACATGCTGAATCTCTTTTCCACTCAGATGGGCTTTCGAGATACCCCAATGGCCACTTGTTTTCTCCTCAGTCTCTCAGCCAAAACTGAGTTCACATCCTTCGTCAGATTACACATCAAGGCAAAGAAAATCTTAAAAATCTGATCCATGCATATTGGTGAAGACACTTTATCCTTCACTTTGACCAGGTAACCTCAATTTGTTCTGTCTGATAAAAACACAATCTTAGTAAAAATATAAAGGTGGAGGAAGGAGGAGGGCCAGATCTGTTATATGAAGCAGAAAGATTTGTTTTTCTGTTTTTATCCATGATTCCTATCTACAATTTTACAATTGAAGCTCTATGCTATTTGTGTCTGTCTGGATGCTTATAAATGTATGTGTGTATTTTTGTATGTATTTTATATGTGTGTGACATTTTATCAGCCTCGGATGTTATTACCAAAGTATTGAATTTAAAAAAATTTTAAGGAGCTCTATTCCTATTGGCTTAGTAATAAATAAGCACTTAAATAAATTAAATCTTCCTATAATTTCAAGAGATTAAGAAAATCAAACTTTCAACACTTGTGTGTATTTTTGTGTGTATGTTATATGCATGTAATATTTTCCTACCCTCAGATGTTATTACCAAATTATTGTATTTAAAAATTTTAAAGGAACTCTATTCTTATTGACTTAGTGATAAATAAGCATTTATGAATTAAATCTTTCTATAGTTCCCAGATACTAAGAAAATTGAACTTTTAATACTTTCAAAAGTATTTTATAGAAACTAATTCAAAATATTTTAACTTCACATACTTTTTGCCATTTATTTTTATGGTAGTTAGTAGTGATATAGATAGCTAGAGGTTTGATCTGTGTTTTAATAAATATGTTCACTTTTACTAAATTGAGAAGTTATACTATAAGGAAGCATATGGCTATAAAAAGATGTGAGATCTCATAAGCAGGAATTGAACAATGAGAACACATGGACACAGGGAGGGGAACATCACACACCAGGGCCTGTCAGGGGGTGGCGGTTAGGGGAGGGAGAGCATTAGATGATGAGTTGATGGGTGCAGCAAACCAACACGGCACATGTATACCGATGTAACAAACCTGCACGTTCTGCATATGTATCCCAGAACTTAAAGTATAATAATAAAAAACTGAAAATAAAAAAGTAATAGTGACTTCACAATTCTGTTGAAAAGATGAGTGATGATGCTGTTTAATGAGATGCTTATTATAAGAGACACTCATAAATAATTTTTAATATTCACAAGAAAAGCTGTGAGATGTGTATTTGTAAGATCTGCTTATCAGCTACAGAATATTTGTGCTGGGAAAGACAATTCACAATTCTTTATAGTTTCATCTGTAGAATAAAAGTTATTGTAGTTAAAAGTTGTAACCAACAATGTATTAAATAAGAACCTATTGGGAGAAATAATGACAGAAAGGAAAATCATTAGCATGCAAAGCATAAAGTATTTGTTTTTGTTAAGAAAAAGAGTAGCTTTGTCTTAAAGTAAAATGACTGCTTCTTCCAGAAGGAGAAAGAGGAAAGTATAGGTCAAAATTTGAATGAATATAGAAAGTTGTAGAACGTTTATAGAAAATGAATTTTATCTGTTGTGGTCAAAGCTAGCTAAGATTTCATGGGTTTATGTATAAAAAAAGAACTTTAGTATCAAATATACTGATACAAAACTAGTAGTTGTATTTAGCTCTGTTAAAATGACAAGAGCTTGTTCGATTATTGGTCTACCCTTAGTAAGAGTTTACAGAATGTTTTTCTTTAACTTCTGGGTAATCTACCTAGAGGGCGAAAATTCTGACTTTTATCAGAAAAATTTATTCTGCTTTTGTTCACTTTTTTAATCCTTGAATATTTTAGAAGATCATCTGTTTACCTTTGAAAGAACTAAGGCTCTTTACAATCATGTTACATTTTTCGCTAGCTTTTAAAATCTTTTGTTGACTCTTTGATTAAATAGGTAGCCAAGTATTTTGTTAGTCCAGAATCCAATTTAATCAAGTTTTCATACCTTCTTACAACTTTCGATATTTTCGCTTTCTCAAATCAAATTCTAAGTGATATCTTTTGCAGATAAAATTGTCTTTGAGAGTTCCCAGAATGCCCTAGGAATCAGAAATGAGTTGTTCTTTTACCTCTTAAAAAGAAAGGTGCTACAAATAATTCAGATTACTTGACATAAGTTGCAAGGGAGCTATTATCCAATCAGACGAGATGGTAAGCATTCCCTTGGTTAAATTTATTGTATGGAGAAAACATTATTAAAATAAGTATTTCAGAAATTGTATGAAGTTCCTCAAGACTTACTGATGCCCTTGCCATCGATGATATATTTCTATTTTTCAGAATCCTGGTGCTGCTTTGCTTGATGTTATACGACAATATAGTGTTATCATTCATACTTGCAGTTATTTATGTTAATTTGGTCTTAGTTTCACTTCTTCAATTTGAAACCAGTGTATTCTGGGCTAATAGTTTTCAACTGGGTATTCGGGTTACTTACCTGTGTCATTTAAAAAAATATATAGATATTTAGGACCTACTTCAAACTTACTAAATCTCTTTGTTTGGAAATATTGAAGTATTCTTTATATATTCTAGCTATAGATATTCATAATGTGTCTCATAATTGTTAGACATTGTATTTGAAGATGTTTTTCTCTGTTAAGAATATATTCATTTTTATAAGTTAGATGTAATATTCACTTTAATTTGAAAATATAGTTGATTATTATGTTTATAGGTATTTTGTCTAAAACTATTTTGGATTGACTTTATTTCACACACATGCCTCAAAAAAAAATTCTGGTCAGTTGCATTATTTTTTAAAGAACTTTCAATAAATTTTCTACTTCTAAAAATTATCGAAGTTAACCATAACAATTTTTCAGTTTTGTGACACTATAGAAGGATTTTGGTTTTAGTCTGATGCTTACCTTAAAGTGCTTGCAAATCAGATACCTGTCAGAGTGCTTCATTTTTAACAAAGAAAATTGCTGCAGAGACTCATGGAAAGGAATTTTGCCAGGTACTCCCAGACATAAGGTTCTTATGGCATTATTTAAACAACTTTAAGACCACACCATTGGACTGAGTCAGGATTTCCAGAATTATAGTGGAGAAGCAGATGGACATATGGGATTGCTAACTGAAGACTGAGTGGAATAAGACTTAAGTACACAGAATTGAATTAAATGATGAAGGATGATTATAGATTTTGTCTGGAATATTGCCAATATTTTAGTGTCCTATGTTCTGTATATAAAAAATATTTTTTTGTTTTCTCAAGTTATGTATATAACTCATGACATTTGTAGACTATGCTTTTGTACACAGAAACAAAACAAAACAAAACATTTGTCTTTTCTCCATGACCAACCCCTCCAGAATTCATAAACTTTTTTTTTTGTCCAATTTCATTATTTGCAGAGATGCTTGTCAAACAGAGATGATTGGAAACACTGGTTCTATAATCACGGCTTTGTCTGGAAGGCCGTATTGGAGAATGTTGCTTATCTAATCAGATATGAACAGTTTGAAGGAAATACGGTTCATTTTTTTCTTTAAACGGAGCCAAGGTTTACAAAGCTCTTGTATGAGTCAGGGTTCTCTAGAGGGACAGAACTAATAGGATATAGGGGGTTTATTAAGTATTAACTTACATGATCACAAGGTCCCACAATAGGCCGTCTGCAGGCTGAGGAGCAAGGAGAGCCAGTCCAAGTCCCAATGTTCAAGGGCAGGAAGGATCCAGCACAGGAGAAAGTTATACGCCAGGAGGCTAAGCCAGTCTTGCCTTTCCACATTTTTCTGCCTGCTTTATATTCACTGACAGCTGTTTAGATTGTGCCCACCAGATTAAGGGTGGGTCTGCCTTTCCCAGCCCACTGACTCAAATGTTCATCTCTTTTGGCAATACCCTCACAGACACACCCAGAATCAATACTTCATATCCATCAGTCCAATCAAGTTGACATTCATTATTAACCATCACAGCTCTCTTCAGAAAATCAGCCTGAAAGTTGTCTTACAATGTTCCCAGTTCTACAGATGAGTAAGAATGATAACTTCTTGCAAAACCTAGGAATCTTAGGCTATTTTGATGACTTCGGGAATAGAGGAATTCATCCAAATTTATAGCTACTGCAGGTGAAATCTAATGGCAAATTATTGGCTTAGTCCTAACCTTAAGAAGCTTTTAAAAGTCTAATCTGAGATTCCTTATAAGAATTTCCAACAATGCAAACTTCAAAAGGCTTATATAGGAAATTCTTTTTGTTGAACTTACGTAAATAATCACATCAATTCAGAGACAGGCCTTATTTTGCGATCGAGAAAAATCTTTCTGTAAGATTATATTTGGTCGGAAAGAAAGGGTGATTGTAGAGAGGCATTTTATGTTTTAATAGAAAACTAGAGCTTATAATACTGGGTAATCATATTCTGGCCCTGTTCACTGTCTTTAGGCTATTTTTCCAGCTTTTTGTAAATTGCAAGTAACTGATATGCAAACTCTGTTTCATAGAGATTCAGTTGACTTTTTCTACTGTGAAAAAAACAATTTTGTTACCTACTTATAATTTGGATTAGATAGTGTCACTTGTATAAATTGGCAACCATTATCAAATTCCCAATTATGTCAGTTCTCTTCAATATCTCGTTAAAACCAAACTAATGCTTCCAATATTTCTCCCCCACTCCCAGCTTGTCCTTACATGAAACTAAACCCTGAATGCCCATATTTGTAATGGCCCCTGCAGATAACAACTGACTATGAAAAAAAAATCCCTCTACTCCACACATAATTCTTTTCAGACTTGTTTACTTGTTCTTATTAAAAAGTCCTTTCGCTCTCACTTTTGAGACTCTTGTAAATTTTGAGATCAGAACATTCTCCCTATTGCAATGATCCCTGGTCCCCCCCAATTGCAATAGTCTTTTTGAATAAAGTCTCTCCTTACCCAAGTCTGTATTTATTTTCTGACACTCTCTTCTAGTATGTTACTTTTACCCAGAAGTATCTTTTCTTTCACTCTCCTATAGTTGAAATCCTCCACATTTAAAACTTAAATCAAAAGACGCATTATCTCTGAATATTGTCCCTAGCTGGTAGTCAGAATTAATTGCAAGGTATTTTATTTGAACTTTTATTCATCACTTATTCATCCTCTCTTTATAAGAATGGTTTACCAAATTTTGTCTCAAATTAAATTTTGAGTCACTTAAAAGCAAGCAATCTATATTATTCACTTTCTTTTTTTACAGTCCCTTGAAAAGAATAAATACTCTATGTGTGTCTTTTTTATTTTTTTAATATAGAGTTACCACACTTTTACTATCCCGTAGCAAAGGTGGTATTTTAGGCATATTCTGAGTCATGTTTATTCACTAATTATATATATTTGAAAAAATAATGTTTTCACTCTACAGAACATTAAGCAGAAATTATAGAAGTTATCTTATAATCCCTCATGTAGGTGCCCTTCCACTTTACCTCAATATGTTCACATTAGTTTTGCCATTTAACATACAAAGATTGTTTAGAATTTCAAATTGTGTACATAAGATTTTAATTACTTGACTCCAGTCAATTTTTAAATTATATTCTAGTTAACACAAAGTACGTAATTTTAAACCATAATACAGTATGTGTACATAGACATTTCTTGGTCTTTCCATGCCCCTTTATATTACGTGCTATGATAGAGTAAGAGAATAAACAACTGGCTTAGACTGAGTTCATGTCTATAACGATCACATCATTTTCTAAGATGTGCTTTGAAAAGCTTCTTATTCCTTTTTCTTGTGTTCCTTATATTTGCTGGCAATAGTTTTCCTTCTATTTGTAGTTTCAGCACCATGCCTAATTATGAGAGTTATTGTTTCAGACTTTAGTTGGTTTCGCTGGTAAACCCACCATGGTTTACAGTTACCAAACAACAAAATCCCTGCCGTGTTCCCATATGCTTGATCATTTATTTTCTGAAAGAATACAGTAGTAGGCAGGAATGGGATTAAAGGGAGTAGTTGCAAAATAAGCAAAGAAATCACAGGTTATATCCTGTTTAGGCATAGTCCGAACACCAAGAATATTTGACCTAGCTCTTATGCTGTATAATTGAGTGGTCAGGCAAGTTGCTATAACAAAGAGGCACCAAACTTGGTAGTAAAAACAGTATAAAAACATTCATCTTGTACATAAAGAACAGAAGTAGTAGGTCCAGATTTGATAGGGAGACTTCCATCTTTGTTCAGGTATCTATTTCATGGGCAGCTATTTTACACCATCTTTAGGCCACTGGATATTAAAAGAAGAGTTAGAAAAGCACACAAGTTCTTCTGAAGGCATACCTTACAAGTGGATATCACTTCTCATATCCCATTAGGCAGAAAATATATATGTTTATAGCAAAACTGCATAGGAGGCTTGGAATTGTAGTCTCTAGCCAAGCCCATTTCTGTCATTAGAAAGGGGAAAGAGGCCGGGCGTGGTGGCTCACCCCTGTAATCCCAGCACTTTGGGAGGCTGAGGAGGGTGGATCACGACGTCAGGAGATGGAGACCATCCTGGCTAACATGGTGAAACCCTGACTCTACTAAAAATACAAAAAAAAAAAAAAAAAACTTAGCCGGGCGTGGTGGTGGGTGCCTGTAGTCCCAGCTACTCGGGAGGCTGAGGCAGGAGAATGGCGTGAACCCAGGAGGCAGAGCTTGCAGTGAGCCGAGATCGCTCACACGCACTGCACTCCAGCCTGGGCAACTGAGCAAGACTCCGTCTCAAAAAAAAAAAAAAAAAAAAAGAAAGAAAAGAAAGGGTAAAGATAAATATTAGTAGGCAATTATGAATCTCTGTTCCTCAAGCCAAAACAGAGAGACAAAGAACTTGTGATTTAAATCAGTATGGAAGAGTTATGCCTACAAATAATCTATTCAGCATACAATTCAGCTGTGGATCCATGGGAAAAGAAAGGGGTACAGAAAGGTAAGATGTGCAATAGAGGAGGAATATCTTAATCTGCTTTGCTCTGATTATTTGACTATTCAGAAAGGCTTGTGAAAATATACAGACTAGGTTAATTATCTTGGAAGTGGGTGATTTAAGGACATACACACACATGTTTGCACAAGTGCACACACAATACATGCTCATTACTTTTCTGGTTTTATACTTCATTTCTGATTATATATACAGGCTTCCATCAGCTCCCAGAGATTTAGAACTTCAAACTGAGACAGGATTATACAGAATTTATTTTACTGAAAGACGAAACTATGGTAAGCTTGCGTAAAGATAGTTTATTCTTTTAAGTTTGCAAAATCCCACCAGAAATATGGAGATCAAAGTTTGCATTAAAGGTAAGATAGAACAATAATAATCTAATTTCTTATTAAAACTGAGCACCAAAGTCCAAAAACTATGCTATTAATTAACATTGTGGCTGTGATATCCATTGAGGTAATATCTTCCCTTTAGCTTTATTATTCTATCATAAAATATTGAACTTACATAAATATCTTCAGACCTCAACAATTTCAATATAATATGCTCGAATTTTCCCCAAAATCTAACTAAACTCAAGTGTTAGCCATTAAAACTAAAATTATACTCAGTTGTTCTTTCATTTTATGTGACCTATTTCAGTAATGATTACAACTCACCATTCTTCTTGTCTTCTTGAATACACCTATTAAAGATTACATCAATGAAATGTCAAAATAATCCATTTGGTTATGAGATAAAATAAGCTTGAAGAAGTTATTGAAAGCGTATGAACAAATGTTTAACTTTCTACGTATTATTTTGAAGTTCTCTGGAGTATACATACAAATACTCTTAAATTTTCAAAACTTTAAAATAATAAGCAAGTCAGGAGACTTCTGATACTTGATAAAATAGTGACTAGCACATGCTTTTGGTTTTCTCCCATATAGTCTACTCCAGAGAAATCACAGAAGCAATACAGAGAATAGATTTGAAGAATTAATACTAAAAAGTGGGAAACCTGGGAGATCAAAGGCTTCTGTGAATTAGCGCATGTAAAAGAGAGAGAGAGCAGAGACAGAAGAGCTAGCATGTGGGTTAGCAGTGTCCTGGGAGAAAGGTGTATTGCAGTGTAAGACTGAAGTGGGAGAAAATTTTAAAATTCTAACCTTAGAACATGATCTTGGTAATGCCATTGCTTGTCATTACCACATTAATATATAGCAACATCCTAAGCATTGACCCTGATGGCCTGAATTGCTGCTGGAGCAAGGTGGCAAGTTAATTGATTCATGTCTACCTTCTTCAAATTCAAGAGTTGGTGACACGGCATTTAGAAAAATAAGTATTCAGAAAAGCCTTCTTATCTAAGAGTATTTTTTAGAAGAAATTACTAACCATCTACCAGGATCCATTCAAAGTTTCTTTAATTATTATTATTTAATTATTTAAGTATTATTTAGGCTCTATTGAGCCTAAATTTTAGTAGTGCACAAGTCTTCCCTAATAGATAATGTATTTCTAAGCTTTCTTTGGAACTAAGTGTGCCTATATGATGCAATTCTGGTCAATGGAATAAGTGCAAATTATGTTTACAACTTCTAGATTAAGCCTTTGAAAAGAAAAAAATTCTATTTTACTTTCTTTTTAGCATATACATGACAACATCTATAGCAACAAACTTGGACCCAGGAACACTTTTGATCCAGATTCTTTTAATTACTTTTTGGCGAAGAAATATCCTAAGACTTGCCAACCCTGAACAACTACCTTTGAAACTATTGAAAGAAAGGACAATAAAATTCCACTGAATTTATGTCATCATAACAATGGGTCCCCTTGATACAGAAATTTAACCCCAGACCATAAGTGCTATGGTTTGAATATGGTTGGTTTGTCCTCACCTAAATTCATGTTGAAATTTGATTCCCAAAGTGTTAGTTTTGGGAGACAGAGCCTAGTGAAAGGTATTTGGGTCATGGGAGAGGATCCCTCATTAATGATGTGATGCTATGTGATAGTGAGGTCTCACTCCAGCAAGACTGGGTTAATTCTACAGAAATAGGTTAGTTGTTATAACGCAAGGCTTCTTTTCCTGTTTGGACCCTCTGCACATGTATCTGCTTCCCCTTTGACCTCCACCATGCAATGACCCAGCACTGAAGTGAAAGCTAGAAACAACGCCTGAACTTCTAAGTCTGCAGAACCATGAGCTAAATAAACCTCTTTTCCTTATAAATTACCCAGCCTCAGGTATCCTGTTACAGTAACACAAAGCAGACTAAGACAGAAAAAGTAGCTCAGAATATAAAGAGGAATCCAGTACCAGAGTACTCAGATAGAATGCCAAGGCATGGCATTCTAAATCAAAAGTTTTCTAAGGTTAAGGGTCTTGATTCTGAGTTCATTTCCTAAATATCACTTTGTTTCGCCAAGAAGGACACAATAAGGACCCACTTCCTATGAAACAATTACCAGAAGAAGTGTAGATGATACCACCAGGTCAGGATAAATGCACAAGACAAAATAACCTGATATCTGAGCAGTAAACTCATTATAAAGAAACATAACAAATGAATGTAACACACAAAGCTATACTTTTGTAACAGACAGAATAAGAATTTAAACTAATTATAATAAATTTCATGGAAGTTTATTATGAAAGAATAGAAGGTAATTTTAAAAACAGAAAAGAAATGATGAAGTAAAAAATGTATGATGGATGAGATAAAATCTGGTTAGAAACAGTTGAAGAATGAACAAGTGATATGGAAAATTATATTTAGAAACTTTGCAGAAGGCAACTGGAAAATATGGAGATGAAGGGTTAGAAATTGGGGGAAATAAAGTAGAATTGCCAGCATTTGGACACAGAATGCCAAAATAGTGCAAATATCTGAGGAAGTAGTAATAATAAGCACATAAAATTAATGGAGTTTAACATCTCATAGTAAAAGGACATATAATGCCAAACATTCATGTTAGAGCAAATCTATACCTACACGTGTTGCATTGAAATTTAAGTTTGTCAAGGTACAAGGAGCAAATTCTAGAAATTTCCAAAGTGGGAGAATTTTTGCAAATGTTTTTCAAAAACAGAAAAAAAAGCTAAAGATAGTAATTTATTTTATGAAACATAATCTCAGACAAGATCGACAATACAATAAAGAAAACTATAGGTTCAAGCAATACTTAAGTGAATCCAACAGTGTATTAAAACTAATGTATCATAATATAAAATTTATCACAAGAAGGCACTGATGATTCAACGTAAAAATCAGGCATTATAATTGATCACATTAATAGACTAAAATACAAATGTATGATTATTAACAGATGTAGACAAAACATTTGATAAAATTAATACTTGAAAATAGTTAACAAACAATAAGGAGATATTTCTAATATGGCAAAAGTTATTTGTCAAATACCTATTTAAATACATTCCATTTAGTACCAAGAAGAGGGTAGGGAATTTCATTATCATCACCACTCTTTAAGGTCATATTGGACGCCCAGGCTATGCTGTAAAATAATGGAAGGAAGGAGGGGGTGGGTGGGTAGATAATGAGAAAAAAAAGAAGAAAAGAAAGAAAGGAAATAATTAAAATATAAAGTTTTAAAGGAATTAGATTAAAATATTATTTGCAAATGATATCTACATAAAAATGATAGCATCAGAATTTACTAGAATTAGTAAGATAGTTGATTGTCTACTAGACTCAAAATGAGCATAAAAAATTAGCATTTCTTCTATATGGACAATAAGCTACTAGAAAATATATTTATATGATAAAAACATAAAAGTCTACATTTCTATAAAATTTCTATAAAATAGGAATTTATAGGGAAATAATCTGCTATAGCTCAATGGACTCAAAGAAAGTAATTAAATACAAGCTTTGAGTTAAAAAAATTCAAGATTCTTGTATTGAACAACTTAACGTTATATTGATGGAAAATTTCTGAAAATTAATTTGTAAGTTTATGCAATCCAAATCAAAACCCCTACTCTGTTTTTTGAAGAATTTGATTAATTTATTTTTAAAATAAAGTCTTAGAAATAGCTATCAAAAAAGCATAGAAAGGGATTTTTGTACATAGTATTATATAATATATTGCGCCCAGCAGAAAAATGTAATCTAACTGAGAATTCAGCATCAGACAGGTATGTGTCTGATGCACTGGAAAGACTATGTCCAATAGGTGTGACCTGGACAAAACTATACATTTTAGTCTCAGTATAAATTTACTGTAATTTTTATTTCTGTCTGAACTATTCAAAAATTTCTCATTTTTTCCAAATAACCAGAATTTGTTAAAACTTGGCTGTCTGATTATACTCATGAAACATATACTCATTTGACACGTCTCGCATTCCTCGTTGTATTAATTCACATATTTATTTATTCAATAAGTATGCCTCAGTGGAAATTCTTGGACTTGCAAGTTCAAATAGGACCAAAGAGGAATATCATAATATAGAACTAAGATGAAATCCTCATAATTGTGTTTTTTTCAAAAGCTTTATTGAAATATAATTGACACACAATAAACTACACATGGAAAATGGACAGCTAGGTAAGTTTTCATATATAGAGATATGGAACTGTGAAATCAACATGACAATCAAGATAATGAATATATCTATCACCACCCAAAATTTCCTCATACAACTTTATACCCTCTCCCTCTCATCCCACTCCAAAGCTCTTCCCTAGGCAACCACTGATCTGCTTACAGTAGCTACATATTTCTCATCATTATCTAGAATGTATATATAAATGTAACCATCCAAACCCTTTTTTGTGGCTTCTTTCACTCAGCATAATTATTTTGAGATTCACCCATGTTGTTACATTTATTAATACTCACTTTCATTACTGAGAAATATTCCCTCATATCGATATATCATATATGCCATTTGTGAATCAGGTTCTATAATTTCTGAATTTCAGAGATCCTCTTCATTTTATCTAAGTTGTAAAAACTATTAGGCATATAATCTTCATCATATTGCCTTATTATGTTTCAGTGTGTGAAGGGGTCTGTAGAGATGCCTTCCCTCCTAAATTCATGATATTAATAATTTGTGTCTGTGTGTGTGTGTGAATTCCTTATGTACCTGTAGTTCTGAGATATTACTACACTTTCACACTAGGTACATTGGCTTTTAGAAATTTGTTAAGTATTTTAGCTGAATTGTTTTCATTAACTTGTATGTTGTGAGAGGTTTGACCCACATAAGCAAGCATCCACATTCTGTCTCTCCTTGGAATGCAAACTACTTGTTTCTAGGCCAGTTTCTTCTGTAACTTCAGCTCTCTGATGAATTCAAAAAAATTATTTTTTTTTAGATTTAGCATTATTTTGTTATGTTCTTTATCAAAAGCAGGGACAGTGGGAGTAACTTCATGGTTTGTTGCACTTTATGAACTACAGTAAGAAATAATTGACAACCACAGAGTTATACCCAAACAATGTTTAATTTTTAAAATAAAATCTCTTTGTAACAAGTTATCTTTCCTTTTCCCTCTTAATCTTCTCATCTGAACAATGTAAATCAAATACTCATGAGTTTTGAGATGCAATAGTGGTCATGTAAGAGATTTTAGCCATATTAAAGATCCAAAGGCAGTGGAAAGCTATCAGAGACTTTTAAGCAGTACATGAAATGAATTGATGCTTTAAAAAAAAAAGTCAATTTGGCTTCTCCAAGAATGTATTCTAGGTTTAGTACTCATTAGGATGCATTGTATTTATTTATTTATTTATTTATTTATTATTAATTAATTATTATTATAATTTGAGATGGAGTCATACTGCGTCGCCCAGGCTGGAGTGCAGTAGCGCGATCTTGGCTCACTACAACCTCGCATCCCAGGTTTAAGCAATTCTCCTGCCTCAACCTCCCGAGTCATAGCTGGAATTACAGTTGCCCAGCACCGTGCCAGCAACTTTTTGTATTTTTAGTAGAGACGGGGTTTCACCATGTTGGCTAGGCTGGTCTTGATTCCCTGACCTCAAGTGATCCTCCTGTCTTGGCCTCCCAAAGTGCTGGGATTACAGGCATGAGCCACCATACCTGGCCTCATTAGGATGTATTTTAAAAATTCATAAAACAGTTAATCCTACCTTGGCAAAAGGATGACAGTGGCTACCAAGGACAGTGTATATATTTGAGTATAGTCGGAGGAAGGTAACTGTTAGGGAGAGAGAGTTTTCTCAGTTCTTCCAGTTTTTCTAGAGAAAACACTACCACTGCATTTATTTTTCCATAGGGAAAATTATAGAGGGAATACTTCTTGCTTCTCACTTAATCATTTTCATACCTCTTTTTGGGTCTGTCAGCTAGAAAGCGAGAGGCCTCCTAATGTGTTTACTTCTTGTGCTAAGAGGCCTGTCTTGGAAATCAAGTATATGATTCATCCACAGTGACTGGGTGGTAAGCCTTATTCAATGGTGAAGTATTTGTAAGCTCATTTTGCACACAATTTTAAATCAAATAATTGAGTCAAGCTTTTCTTTTTCAGAAAATACACAAATTTTTATATTGCATCTCTCTTTTTAATAAGCTCCTAACTCAGTATGGGACAACGAATATTATTTAGGGATCCTGACACTCCCAATAGTCATGATGCAGTTTGGGATATATGAAACTTCAAATTATCCATGATATCCAATTAGAGATGAAAAGTTGACAAGGGTACATACTGATTTGGAAATTAGAAGACAGTCCTAGGTTTAAACCATAAATATGGGATTTGTTAAAGGAAGAAGAACACATGAATTCATTTAGTGATTTTATGCATAGTGAAAATAGAATAGAAACCAGGACTGATGCCTGAAGACTCCAAAGTTTAAGGTCAAGAAGAGAGGGAGAAGAAACATCTCGAATCATAAAAAGAAATCTGTTAAAGTATGCGTAGAGGTCACAGAAGATACAGATAACATGTTTTCATTGTGTCTTCCAATATAAACATCACTTGCATAAATACAAAGCCCAATGTATATTTTTAAGCATTAATTAGTAATTGTTCTACCCTCTCACTGAAAGTCATTGGAGTTGTATGCAATAAAAGACATCAATATAACAAAAGAAATGCCACATCAAGTTAGAAGAAACAGAGCCAAATAGCAAACTACTTGGACTCTATTAAAAATATTAATACCCTACTACTTTGTAAGAATTGGGATTTTAAAATCAATTCGTTTATGCAGAAATTTTTGGATTAAAATTATGGTCAGCTAAGAAAATGAGGAAGCAAACTTATTTTTGAAAAGAAAGTATTTTGTAGTATAATAATATAAAAGGGTTATTTTTTTCTGTCTTTATACTAGAACAATTATACTAAAAAACATAAGATAGTGTAATTTAATATATGACATGAAAACAAATAAATATATAATTATGGAGCATTTTTACGATTGAGATAATTAATACAATAAAAGCTATATATGCAAACAGATATATTTGTGTGTTGTAGTTACCAATGAATTTTCAATACAGCTATTGAGTTATCAAAATATCTTTTGTATCCCTGAAATAGTTTAGTTTTAACTGACTTTTTACCCATATATTAGTCCATTTTTATGCTGCTGATAAAGGCATACTGGAGATTGGATGATTTGTAAAGAAAAAGCTGTTTAATGGACTCAGAGCTCCACATGGCTGGGGAGGTCTCACAATCATGGCTGAAAGTGAAAGGTACATTTTACATGGTAGCAGGCAAGAGAGACATGAGAGCCAAGTGAAAGGGGAAACCCCTTATAAAATCATCAGATCTCATGAGACTTACTCACTACCACAAAAACAGCATGGAGAAAACTGCCCCCATGATTCAATCATCTCCCACTGGGTCCCTCCCACAACATGTGGGAATTATGGGAGCTACAATGCAAGATGAGATTTGGATAGGGACACAGTCAAACCATATCACTCCACCTCTGGCCCCTCTCAAATCTCATGTCTCACATTTCAAAACCAATTATGCCTTCCCAACAGTATCCCAAAGTCTTAACTCATTTCAGCATTATCTCAAAAATCCACAGTCCAAAGTCTCATCTGAGACAAGTCCTTTCTGCCTACGAGCTTGTAAAATCAAAAGCAAGTCAGTTACTTCCTAGATACAAGGGGAGTACAGGCATTGGGTAAATACAGCCATTCCAAGTGAGAGAAATTGGCCAAAACAAAGGGGCTAGAGGACCCATGCAAGTTGGAAATCCAGCAGGGCAGTCAAATCTCAAAGCTCCAAAATGATCTCTTTTGACTCCATGACTCACATTCATGTCATCCTGATGCAAGATGTCAGTTCCCATGGTCCTCGGAAGCTCAGCCATATTGCTTTGCAGGGTACAGCCACCCTCCTGGCTGTTTTCATGGCTGGAGTTGAGTGTCTGCAGCTTTTCCAGGGTCACAGGGCAAGTTGTCAGTGGCTCTACAATTCTGGGGTCTGGAAGACAGTCGCCCTCTTCTTACAGCTCCACTAGGCAGTGCAGCAGTGAGAACTCTGTGTGGGGGCTCCAACTCCACATTTTCCTTCCACACTGCTCTAGCAGAGGTTCTCCATAGGGCCGTGCCCCTGCAGTGAACTTCTGTCTAGAAATTCAGGTGTTTTCATACATTCTCTGAAATCTAGATGGAGGTTCCCAAACCTCAATTCTTGACTTCTATGTACCTGCAGGCTCAACACCACATGGAAGTTGCCAAAGCTTGGGGCTTGCACCATCTGATGCCATGCCCAAGCTGTACCTTGGCCCCTTTAGCCATGGCTGGAACAGCCAGGATGCGGGGCACCAAGTCCCTGGGTTGTACACAGCAGGGGGCCCTGGGCCTGGCCAATGAAATCATTTTTTCCTCCTAAGCCTCCAGGCCTATGATGGGAGGGGCTGCCAACAAAGGTCTCTGACATGCTCTGGAGACATTTTCCCCCTTTTCTTGGTGATTAACATTTGCCTCCTCCTTACTTATGTAAATTTCTGCTGCCAGTTTAAATTTATCCTCAGGAAATGGGTTTTTCTTTACCATTGTATCATCAGGCTGCAAATTTTCTGAACTTTTATGTCTCAGAGGGAGATGAGGAACTTGTTGGGAACCGGAATAAAGGTGACTTTTGCTATGTTTTAGCAAAGAGACTGGTGGCATTTTGCCCCTGCCCTACAGAGTTGTGGAACTTTGAACTTGAGCAAGATGATTTAGGGTATCTGGTGGAAGAAATTTCTTTTTCTTTTTTTTTTTTTTTTTTTCTGAGCTAGAGTCTCGATCTGTTGCCCAGGCTGGAGTGCAATGGTGCAATCTCAGCTCACTGCAACTTCCACTTCCTGGGTTCAAGCGACTTTCCTGCCTCACTTTCCTGAGTAGCTGGGTTTAGCTGGGATTACAGGCACCTGCCACCACGCCCGGCTAATTTTTGTATTTTTAATAGAGATGGGGTTTCACCATGTTGGTCAGGCTGGACTTGAACTCCCGACCTCATGATCCACCTGCCTTGGCCTCTCAAATTTCTGGGATTACAGGCATAAGCCACCACACCTGGCCCATCTAGTGGAAGAAATTTCTAAGCAGGAAAGTATTCCAGATGTGACTTGGGTGCTGTTAAAAGCATTCAGTTTAAAAAGGGAAACAGCTCAGCCTGGATTTCATTGTCCATATCATTGTCAGCATTTTTGTTAAAGCCGTTCAGCAAGTTTCTAGGAAGTTCCAAACTTTCCCACATTCTCCTGTCTTCTTCTGAGCCCTCCAAGCTTTTCCAACCTCTTTCTGTTACCCAGTTCCAAAGTCAATTCCACATTTTGGGGTATATTTACACAGCAGCACCCCACTCTACCAGTACCAATTTACTCCATTAGTCCATTTTTCATGCTGCTGATAAAGACATACCTGAGACTGGGTGATTTATACAAAAAAAAAAAAAAAAAAAAAAAAAAAAAACGTTTAATGGACTCACAGTTCCATGTGGCTAGGGAAGTCTCACAATCATGGTGGAAGGCAAAAAAGGCACATCTTATATGGTGGCAGGCAAGAGAGTAATGACAGCCAAATGAAAGGGCAAAACCCTTACAAAATCGTCAGATCTCATGAGATTTACTACCAGGAGAACAGTATGGGGGAAACTGCCCCCACGATTCAATTATCTCCTACTGGGTCCCTCCCACAACATGTGGGAATTATGGGGGCTACAATTCAAGATGAGATTTGGGTAGGGACACAGCCAAACCATATCAACTTATATTCTATCATGTATCCATCAAGTACTTATGGTTATTGCACCATTTTCCTATACTATCTATTGCATACAATAAACATATCTTAATAATTTTATATATATTTATATTCATAATGACTAACAGCTGCCTTGCCTACTTGGTTTATTAGCATATTCACATTAAATTCTTTTGGATCAAACTGCCACATTAGCAGTGAACTTTTCTACCAGGCTGCCTTCCTAGAATTGTCTCATTATCCCTAGAGTTTACACAATTTGAGTTCAGTCCAATTTCTACACACTAGGGAGAGAGAGGAAAAAAAAATCTTGAATTATATTGAAAATATTTGCAGCAGGTGTTTAATTCTTTTACTCAACACCCATTACAATATATCTCTACCTTACCTTTTGTATAGCAGTGTCCAGAAAACTAAAAAAAAAAAAAAAAAAAGTCTTTAACTTGTGCTAAGTGCAGAAATGTCATTTTAAATTTCTGGCAATGCAATCATGCAAGAAAAAAGCAAGAAAGAATAAAGTTGAAGAGTCTCTTCCTTCTGTGTGGCTTTTAATAACAAACTATGGGGTTTTGTATTGGAATTTTAAAGGTTACCTTATTTATACAAAAAATCTGAGGTCTACATTACAATTACCCAAGGAAGCATAATGAAACTAACCGTTTCTGAAAAGAAGCTCTTTTATAATAAAGTAGTAGAAAATAATGGGTGATGAAAGGGGTTGGATAGCAATGGTGAAGTTTTAGTGTGCTGGCCTTAGTTTCCCAGCTGTTGAGCTGCCAGAAGCAGTGGCAGTTGCATTTTTATTAGAGTAGTACAATGGTGTTTCAGAAATCTTTTCAAGCTCTTTTGGCAAGGTTTTGTGGTCATTTTGAAGACTCTGCAATTTATGCAATGTCCCATATAAGAATATTTTCTAAATAAAGCGGAGTCTCTGGTATCTGAATCTAAAAACAGTAAGCAGTATGGTTATTGGTACCATTATTAAAAGCAAGGTATTTGTTCATTATTAAGGACAAGAAAGGAAGGCAAGAAAGGTGGACTACGCTGTCTGAAGCTAACAATGCTGGGAAGCTCAGAGAAAGATACTGACAGCCCCAAGGTGTTATACCTTCAGGCAAACTCAGGGTCAGGAAACTAGGGAGCTCTTTTCTTTTTGTAGCCACAGGATTTACATACTTAAAAACTGGATTCATAGTTTTACCCTGAACCTTCCTGAAATACAAGATACATTGAATTTAAAGCCTCATCAAATCTCCTATATAAAAAATAAAGACATTGTTTGGGATAGAGGAGAATTTCAAAATTCAAAATGGACCCACTTGGCATAGTTGAAGCAAATCTATTCTCAGGTGACTTTGTGTGTCTAATCAAACACATAGCTATGATATTCTTGGGAGAATTATATTTAAAGTTATGCCTCACTCAGAAAGCTAGTACATAAAATATAAAATAAAAATGTATCTTTACAATTATACCTCTGTGCTTCCTAATTTTATTGCTTTGAGGTCTTTTTACCCATAATATTAACGAGAGTACATTTATATGATAATATTTTACCCTGAAACCTATACATTTAATTACATAAACTATAATTTTACTTCAGTTTCAAAATTTATTTCAGATGTTAAAATGACATATTAACACAGGGATATGTGAGTAATAAAATAAGCATCCAGAATGCAAAGTCAATATCAGTGCTTCATTAATTAATCTACAAGAATGCAAGAATTAGGTTTTAAATCAGAGCTTTTTACTTATATATAGTTATAATAAAACAAATGGAAGTAGTAAGATTATTTCATATATAAACTCTAATTCAACCAAAGTGTTTCTTCATCCAGAGGCATGAACATTGATTGGGAATAAGGATGGCATAAATATACTTGAGAAACTCAGTTATATTTTATACTACTGCAATCACCTCTTGCTTGCCAAGCATTAACTCTTAGTCCTTTCATCTACTTTCCAGAAGTACACACCAGAGTGTCCTTTTCAAACATAATTTTAATTATGTCACTTCCATGGTTAATGTTCGTCAATAATTTCCAATTGTTCTTAAGACAACAACTACATTCTTCCTATGGCCTATAAGGTCTTGCGTGGTCTGATTCCTGCTTACCTATCTAGACTCATCTCTCACTGTTTTTCTTCTTGCTGTAAACTACCGCTGTGCTCCAGTACAATAGGTCCCAACCCCCATGGGGACTTTGTGTAGTGATTTCCTGAAACAATTCCCACTCTCTCCTCAACTTAGGTAACCTATATTCACCCTTCATTTTCTCAGAAAAGCTGTCCCTTGACTTTTGGACTAATTTATATTTCTTTTTTACTTGCACTCATAGCATCACGTGTTTTGCTTTGATGACTTATTTTTTATCTGTAATGTTTGATAAAGTCTCTCCTATTATACTCTGAGTTCCATGAATGTAAAAATTTATCCTATCTTTGTATTATTATTGTTAATGATTACAAAGTAAATGTCCATAATTAGAACTGTGCAGAGTTGGTACTTATTTAATGCATTTTGCATAAAGAAATGATTTCTATTACCATTTTATGTATATATTTTAACAATAATAAAATACTTTTTTCTATTTATTTAGTGCATACAGTGTAGTTTGCTCATACAGATGTGGTCCCATGAAAAGGTTATGCCCAGATATTGTTCTCATGTGTCCTACCTACTACCTTTGTAGCTCCTAGAAAAGGTTAAGCTCAAATGCAGTTGCTGTTATCCAGCGTGTTCATTTATAGATACAATTCAAGATCAAGATCACTCAATGGAATGCAATTAATGAGAGTATCTTGTGGAACTAATGTAAAGAAATGCTCACTGATGGGGTAACAGTAAAGTCATCCCACGATATTCTCAGGAAACTGATTCCAGAACTCCCCTCAGATTCCAAAATCTACAGATGCTCAAGTCCCTTATATAAAGTGGCAAAGTATTTGCATATAACATATGCACATCTTTCTGTATACTTTAAATTATCTCTAGATTACTTTACATAATACAACGTAAATTATATGTAAAGAGTTGCTATACTGTATCATTTTTTATTTCTATTGTTTAGTATTATTTACATATTTATTCATTTTTGACTACTTTAGAGCTGCAGTTGGTTGAATCCACTGATGTGGAACCTGTGGATATGTAAGGCTGACTATAGGTAGAAAAGAAAGTAAATAAATTCATTTTTTTGAAACTAAATAGCAATCAATAAGAAGAGAAAATAAATTCAGCTTATTATTTGATAAATATTTATTCAGCTCTTAGTATGTTATTTGTATCCAGGATCTAGTGGTAAAGAAGACAATTTGGGTCTAATACAAAGTTTAGCTTATTTTCTATACTGAAAACTTGTACCAAATTTATGAAAATAAGCTAAAATTGATATGGATTCTTAGTGTAGATTAAAAGTTAAATCAGTAAAAAATGTTCAGCAGATTGCAGGTAAAGATCTAAATGGAATTAAATGTATTTCTATTATAAGTAAGATGAACAAAAGCATGTAAATAATTATTTAAGAATCATATTTGTGTTTGTGGGAAGAACAAATAATAAAAAATACAAAGATCAGAGTAAAGAAAATCCATAAGAGGACTACCTTGGAAATTAAGATGGTCAGAAATAGAACAAAGAACGTGGGCAACAAACAAAGAAATGACAAGGTAAGTTTTATATCCACGGATACCAAAGGTTCAGTAAAAGAGTTGTAGGTTAATAAACGATGTGTAGTACCCGAAAATGAAGAAAGATTAAAAATTATTTGACAGGTTAAACTACAATTATTTGAAATGTTAAAACATATACACTCTCCATAATGTATCCTCAAGTCAGATTGCTATGGATAAGAACAAACAAGGAAAAGCGGCAAATTTAAAAAATTAAAAATAAAAATGAGACTTGAGCATCTGTGGATTTTGGAATCCAAGGGGTGTTCTGGAAATAAATATGGCCAATAAATTAGAGGTAATGATTTAGATCCCATAATTCTAACACAGAGAGAAAGCCAAATGATACAACTGTAAAAGAAAGACAAAATCTAGGAAATCATTGAGACTTACCCTCATAAATCTACATGTGGGAGTCAGTATTAAAAATTATTATTTAATAGCTTCTGTGCTCATGTTACTAAAATGAGACAGATTTGAGAAGAGGAGAATAGGAAATTTAGTTAAAGGTACTCCTATATCTTTCAAGCTTTGTTGCAGAGAACAGAATCCTTTTTAGCTAGTATAGCACAATGGCATTTTATAAGAATGGCTATCTTACATAATTTCTAGGACATAGAATCAAACTTATATACTATACAGTCAGGGACAAATGAAGCTGTGTGAAACACTTAACTGTATGCAGAAACAATTGCTAAAGATGCTGCCACTCGCTAGAGACCAGTAACCGGTTCTTTGTCACAGATGCCTAAGAAGAAAAGCCACTCGACAAAGTTCTGTCTGGAAACAGATACCGCTTCACGTTGCTCTGCTTTGTCAAAATATCATACTGCAGACTAACTGCAAATAAATCTGGCAAATGTAGTTTTTGGCTTTCCAGCATTCATGGTACCAGAAGACATGCTAGAGGGGATTGGAATAGGTGTGGAGAGCCAAACTGTTGTATTTACTGCAACCTGGCATTCACTGGCTCTATTCATCAGGATCCCAACATTATAAAAGGAATGTAATATGAGATATATTATGACAGGCATTCTAAAAAAGCTCTGGGGATAGAACTCTAAGGTAAGTAGAGGTTAGCTAAGCAGGACCATAATAGATATGCTTTTAATTATTAGTTTCTCCAAATGGCTGTAGAAAGTAGGGAGGTTAGGAGTGGTGGGCAGGATGGAATATAAAACTGGTATATTTAAACGATAGATGATTATGGTGATCTCAGAATACAAACTGTCAAAAAGTAGTTTAAAAAATATTTGGCCTATGAACACGAGCTATAGTGTGGCTAAATGCGTAAGATTTTGGTTAAAAAACAATATGCAGATCAGTTAACCTCAAGAGGGTTGTGAAGGCAAAGCTCACAGGGCGTTTATTACCTCACTGAGGTTTTTAATTAACATGAATCAGCAAATTCTATTTGGAATGAAAACCTCGGAAGACAATAATTCAAGAAGATACAAAGGACACAGAGTTTGTGAATTCGGTTGGTAGATGCCAATTTAAATTTAAGTTTGAGAAGGCAGGATTGATTGTATTTAGGAGGAAAATCATCTGAATAGATGCTGGAGATCAGTCAAGGTAATAGATTCAGCTTAGTTTGTTAATTATATATCATGAGGTGCTAGAATAGGTTAAAAACTTTAAGTTCATTAATCATTACAGAAATACCTCTTGAGAAGACAGGAATAATCCCAAGGGAACATCGAGATGTGGTTATCTTACATTCTTGTGTTAGTCTGTTTGGGCTGCTATAACAAAATTCCCAGGCTTGGTAGCTTATAAACAACAGAAAATTATTTCTCACATTTATGGAGGCAGATAAATCCAAGATTATGGCACCGGCAGATTCCGTATCTAGTGAACGGCCATTTCCTTGTTCGTAGATGGCAACTTCTAACTGTGTCCTCAGATGACGGAAGAGGCAAGGCAGCTCACTTGGGCCTCTTTTATAAGGGAACTAATTCCATTCATGAGGACTGTACCTTTATTACCTAATCGCTTCCCAAGGCCTCACCTCCTAATAGCATCATGTTGGGGGTTAGGATTTCCCCATAAGAATTTTGGAGTGACAACTTTCAGACCCTAGCAAAGACATAACATAGGCTGCAGGTGAGTCCCAATGAGATTTGAGGTTTCTGAAGTGCACCAAGAAACTGCAGATAACACATTCTATTCCAGAAAGTAATGGTAGATATTAACTTACTGAGAGATAACAAATTATGTTTCTGCAATGTTCACATGTTTTAGAAAGGCTAGTTCACAAACCTAATGTTTCTTGGAGTCTTGGAGTCTTACTAATTTTATGTAGCCCATTATAAGCTACAAATTCAAATTGTTGTCATAATAGCAGTTTACACAGATATGATAACAGAAGGGACTCTTGAAAAACTATAATTATCTTAATTATAGCAAATTGATTCATTTCTTCAAGAAATATTTAATGATTGCCACATTCTAGGCACTGTGTTACAACAGTAAGAAAAAAAAATATCTCTGATCTTTTAAAACTTTTAATCTGGAGCTCCAAGACAGATGGCTTTATGTGCTATGAAGAAAAATAAGACAGGATAAGGGAGATCGAGATTGGAGTGATGAGAAGGGGATTTATATTCCATATAGAGCATTCAGTCAAAGTCTCAGGAACATTGTAGTAGGAACCTAAAAGATGGAGTAAGATGTGGTTGTTTAAGAGATGAGAATTCTAATTAGAATAAAAATCAGGGTAAATGACTTGTGACAGAAGCATGATTTTTATAATCAGTAAGAAAGGATGTTTATCTGCCTGGAATGGAGTATAAAAGGAGAGAAGAGAAGTGAAGTCAAGAGCTAGAAGGCCAGTTCAAAATGTGCTGTCCATGGGAACAGAGTTCTGAAATGAGTTCTAATTTTATCATACATATACTTCTTTTTAGAACAATTTTTTCTTAAATGTCTGACATATAACAGAAATGTAGAAATTTGTAAAAATTGCTTTTAGATTTGTAATAGTTAATGAAAGTATTAAATGTATTAAATAAGGTCTAAAAATTGTTTTGCTTGTTTTTTTAAAGAGTGATAACATATTAACTTACTCAAATATCAAATGTAAAGTATTTAAAAAAGCTTGACACTAATGGGGAATGGAAAATTCCCATAAAATGAAAAAAAAAAAAACTAGTACTACTACAACATTTGATATTGATTTAGTAACATTATATATTGTGTTAAATATTGGCCATATGATAAAAATAAGCACAGTATGCCTTACAAGTATGTAAAGTCTTTTATATGCAATACCACAATAACAAAATATGAATAATAGTAGTCAGAATGGGATAGGACCAAATTTTGGTTTCTGTTGAAAATATGGTGTCTGTGGGAGCAGAGTTCTGAAACAAGTTCTAATTTTAACATACATCCCATTTTCAGCAGGAGAGCACTAACTGTACTTCATCCTCTATTTTCTACTGTGCAAATATGCCTTTTACTTTGAACGCTTGTCCATCAAGGTGGAATATAATCTGCCTCGCTCAGACACCCGCCATTTACAATGTGCTTTCATTTACAATGTTCCAAAGGGGTTCTTTTTAAAGCAAATGTTTGCTGAAGGCTAGCATTCATGTAGAAAAGTTCACAAATTCCAAGTCTAAAGACTTCATGCATTTTTGCAAAGTGAACCTATCATGTAACTGCTACTATCATAAAGATAGTGAGTAGGTGGTCACTGAAGCGTGTGGCCTGGAATTTAGAATTTGATGAAACACGGTACAAGCAAGAAGGGGGCTCTGTGGTAAGCATCACAGAACCTGAAAGAACACCAAGATCACAGAACTTATTCGCCTCTTGAAAACATTTTAGAGAGTAAAACACATAATATCACTAGTATACCAGGTATAAACAATAAAATAGAGGTAAAGTATCCAAGATCCTTAGAATTTGATAGAAGTGGTTAAAATAGTTCTTAAGAAAACATAATAAAACAATGTAATATCTAAAAGAACAAATTTTTGAAAAGTGTAAGGCAAACCTTTCTCTTATTTTCTCCACATTACTATTACTGCATAAAATGGGATTTTTAAAAATAACTTTCCTACTTTGGGACAGTACCTGTGAAGCCTAATCATTCCTTCACACAGGAAAATAAGCAACATTTCAGGAGAGATTAGGGAGCTTATTATGCATTAAGTTATTTTATTCTGGAGGTGAGGCTTCAAAAAGCAACCTGATGGACCATTGGCATGCTACAGAGTAATAGGTTGTGAGTTCCCAAAGATAAAGACTTTCTGCCAGTATGAACTAATTTAATTTATTTTCAGGGGAGAATACATATTTGTTTGAGACAGAAGGCTTAAGTCTTGTATAGGTTAAAGTTAAATATGAATAAAGTGCTTGAAGCCTCCACATGCTAACAAGTAGAAAAATGTATAGAGTAACTACAGAGACTTGGAAAAAAAATAAAATGTAAGCCCAATGAGTCTCAGTTTTTTTTTTCTCAAAAGGCTCAATAATCCATACCTCATCTAACTATTTTTATCTTACAATTGTGCGTTTGACATTCTCTTTGACATATCAACTAAACTGACTCCATTCTTGTATTCCTCTGTCTTTTTCACCCAAACTTTTTTTCTGTTTCTATCTGAAATTCCTACTTTATTATCAAAAATGCATCCCACCTTCAATTTCTTTAATGATTATTTCCTGCTTCTTCCATTCTTAGGAGAAACTAGCTTCCCCTGCAGTACTATCAGGTAGCAACTGATCTTTCTCTAATAGTTTGTACACTGCACTGTGTAGAAGTGGAACTCTTGTCTTCCTCACTCTGAGTCTCTGCTGAACAAGTAAGATTCTGCTAACTTATAAACAGGCAAAATAAACAACAAAACCAACAAATATGCACATGCACACATACAACTCAAACTTCTTTCTTGAGTTTTGTCTACTACAATAGTCTAATTTTGACTATTATTTACAAATATCCTGATTGTGCCTCCTCATTTGCTGAAACAATTGGATCCTGTTGAGTCATGCAGTTGCTTTGGCCCACACAACACGTTGAACTCAGTTTGCCGAGGTCTCATCATCTTCAAACATCCCCTCTACTTCACTCTAACTTTTCTCCATAGCTACAATGTGATATTTACCTTAATCTGCTCTACTTTTCAGTAATTTGAAATCCTATTCTGTGAATGAATTTCCATTTCTTCCACTTTACTCATTAAATACTCTCATCTAAAAACCTCATGTGTACCTCTAATATGCACACATTTCTGTTTATTTGCTGACAACCCTTAAAATTTTGATTTCATGAGCCAAGCTTTCTCATTATTCTCTTGCCATTATTTTAATCCCCTTGATTCTTAGTCTCTCTATTATATTTATCCATAAAAACTATAGTTGAAGACAAATCAAACTTTTTTTTTTACATTTTCTCTGCTCCATGGACATAATCATAAAACAGGGATGCCTGGTTTTAGTATAAATTCATGGTCACCAAACTCAAATCACCACTTAAAGCTGCCAAGCGCCTTTATTTAGTTCCCTTTTCCCATATCCTAAAGAAAACTATTTCAAACTTTCACTCCTCTCAGATCTCTGAGTACCCCCCCACATCTCATCCATGGTCTTCAACAAATAACTTTGTATCCTAAAAGAAAAAAAAAAGTAAAAGAAGAATGGAAGGAAGGAAGGAAGGAAGGAAGGAAGGAAGGAAGGAAGGAAGGAAGGAAGGAAGGAAGGAAGGAAGGAAGGAAGCAGGCAGGCAGGCAGGCAGGCAGGCAGGCCCAGAGCTTATTCAATTTCTAACAAAAGTATTTACAAATATTTTTGCTTGGAAAATCATAGTTTATTCTCTTATACTAAAACACAGCACTTTTTTCCTCTGCTGAGATCAATCCCTTCACCTATTTTTTACCTTTTATGTATGCACATTATATTCTAATGGTCTCTCATACTTCTACGTTCTCATCCTATTCCTTTGTACTAATATCTTTCCATCAATATGATCAGATCACCATGTCTAATGGCACTGCCCAGACCTCACTAGTATCTCTTTTGTTTTACAATGAATATTTTGAAAGTATGGCTCTTATTATCTATTTCTATTTCTTATTATTTTACTCATTTCTCAACTGACTGCAACTTCCAGCCGTCCATATGACGAAAACTGCACTTGCTAAGTCACACATGGAATCCATGTCTCCAAAACAAATAGGTGTTTTTCTAACCACCAAATTGGTCACTTTGGAGGTATTTTACTTACCCCTTTGTTTCTGAGACACTAATTATTTCTGGCATTTCTTCTATACATCTGTTTGCTTCCTTTCAGGCTTTTTTTTTTTTTTGTCAGTTTCTCTTTTTTTCCCCTCTGCTTCTTGATACTTTACTCACCCCATACTGTACTTTTAGTCAATCCCACACATCCAAACTTATAACCTGCATATTTGTGACTCTCAATTCTGTGCTTTAGTTATAGCCATCTGTTTGTACTTCCAAATCTATACACAATATTAAAAATACCTTGCACGTTGTATATGTCAAGCACTGTTTACAGTAATTTGCATATATTTTCACAGTATCCAATGAGGTAGGTATATGGAGTATTCTCATTATTATATATAGATAATAAAACGGAAACAAAGAATACAAATAACTTACTCAAGTGTACACAAGTTGTGGGAATGAAATTTAGATAATCCAGTTAGTCTCCAGCCTATGTTCACGACTACCACACTACAGTACTTCCCCAACTTGCCTAGCTGATATTCCCATATGGATGTCCCCAAAGATTATCAACTCAGCACGTCCAATGTTGAATTCATGCTATTATCTAATATTAATCATTTTGTAGTTGTTCTATTATCAATAAATGACATTTTCTATTTAGCAGATAAAGAGAAAAACCTGGATTTATACTTCACACATTCCTTCCCAGGACAATTCATATTCATCAATCCATTGTGTTTTAATGATTTTAGAGTTTAACAACTCCTTTAGTGCCACATTACCACGACTCAAAATAAAAAATCTCTTGCCTAGGTTGCTATAATACTTTTCTAACTTGCTTCTTTACATCCAGCCTCAAACACCAATTATTTTCCCTTACTGGAATATTCAAATCACATGCTATTCCAGTGCTAACAACTTATTAAATTGCCTCAAACTATTTTTAAAATAAAGTCTAAGGTTCTTTATATGGACCACACTTTACTCCTTTATTGACACTAGACAATATTCCACGTGGTAGACTCTCTCTCAACCTAGATATGTGGGTAAATATATACAATAAAGAGTCCTCTCCCCTTTCTTGAGGTACAATTTAACCAAGAGAAATAAATTTGAATGTATATGTTTTGATTTTGTTATGTTGACTATTATTAATACATAAGTCTAGGGAAATCTGATTAATACCCTGTACTCCTCCTCAGCAGTTGGCACCTTGAAATTATTTGATTATTTGTAAATTTTTATTTTAAAATGTATCTTGCTGGTAGACCATATCTTGATGGAGAGAGAAGTTTTAACAGTCCAACTTACTCCTGTGCCTAAATAAAAATAAATAATAGACAGTATACATAGATAGTGTATATATTTTTATATTATAAAAGTACACACATATGTGTGTGTGTATGTGTGTGTGAGTATTATATATATAAAGTCTCTGGCCCCATTAATCTTACACTCAAAAGAAAAAAAACAAATATGACCATTACTGTGCATGAAGTTTAGGTGGCTGATAATAAAATGGAAATGAATATACACTGCAGATAAGCATCAATATGTTAGAATTTTCCACCTCACTCATTTGCCTTTTCATATTTTGTAACATAAAGACCTTTAAAAATATTGTAACTTATTATGTTTATACATTTTCTTTCTTAAAACCTTTAAGCAGAGAAATTTCCAAAATTGTGAATGAAAGTAAGTTATATGAAGTTATATTTTACAGCATTATGTTATTGCTGATCAGATACAATGAAGAAAATTTCTGGTATTTTTTTACTTTATATTATTATTTTCTTATTCTCTCACTTGAAAACCTAAGTAAGATGATGTTCTATAGTGCTAGAGAGGTCACATAGAGGAAGTGAGAGTTCAACTAATATCTAAAAAATGATATGGAGTTGGACAGGTAACAACAGCATACATGAAAGTCTAGAAATAGGGAGAGATTGACATTGTTGAGAAATTTAGATATTAACAATATAGATGGATTCAAACTGTGAATGTGCATGGGAGGCAGGGGAAAGGGACAGAAAAGAAGATGGAGAGACAGAGGTAGGTTACAGATAATAAGAGACATACAATCTACACTAATAAGTTTTGTTTAAAGGAATATAAAATCTTTGGAAAGTTTGAATAATGAAATGACTGTTTCATGATTTGGGCAAACATAGCTAAATAAAACCAACATGATCTTTAATGTAATGAAGTTAATGGTACAGTCGGACTCAAATAAGCAAATTATAGTTCCAGTTCAAAAGGATCATTTTTGATGATTTATAGGGTATTCACCTGTACAGTAGAGTTTTCCAGAGGCTACATATAACATGTGATATTATAATACTTTAAATATCCAAAATGAGACCCCAACTGGTTCCATTAAGACAGAAATTGAAAAGATTTGAAAAAATGTAAAAGAACTATTCTCACCAATTGTTTCCTATGGAAATACTTATTTCTCATAAAATATAATTTATGTTAACATACAATTGGTTTATTGTTTTATAAATAAATGAATTAAAGTTATTAGTCTCAATGTAAGATAAGGTAATTATAAATGGAAATAATTTACATAAACAAAAGATTGTGGTGACCTCAGTGATTGTTAAGGATGGCAAGGGATCCTGAAACCAAAACTTTTGAGATTCATTTTTCTATTGGGTAGAGAATTTAAGCTTATAATATTTTTCTTTTTAAAATTATTATCTGTGTCCCTCTCCCTTTTTGATTGCCTATGCAATCAATGATCCCTAATTAGAGAAGGAGAAACTACTTTTTTATTTATAAGAGATTCTCCAAAATACAGAAAAAATTTAAGCAAATTTACTTTTCATTTTATAGTCTGTGCTATTTGTTAAATATGCATTACATATATTTAGCAAGCCAAAAATAAGATTGTCTCTAGAATTTCTAAAAATGTATGATGCCTTGCTAGCTCTCTAGAACATCTACTGTCTTACTATTTAACAAATAATTTTTTCCCATGAATCAGATTGCATGAATATCTAGAAAATCATAACTTCATGCAGAGGTTTTCTAACAGTTAACATATTGAAATAATATCCCTCCTCAAGGATAGAACATATATTTTAGACATACCTATATGTAGGAAAATTTATTTCATATAGGGATGTTCAAGTCAACTGAGAAAAGTAAAAAAAAAAACTAAGTAGGAGACAGAAAAAGAAGTTCATTAATGTGCGTATATATCAGTGCATGTTTTATATGACCCAATTACCTGTCTCATTCCTTTCTCTTATCTCTTATGTTTTCCCACAGAGTAATTTATATGTAATTATGGTTTGGAAAACTGGGACAGAGTCTGTGAAAGTCTTAACACTTGAAGTTTTATAATGTTCTGTTTCAAATTAAAGTTCAGAGAGACATTCTTAACCCAAGTCTGTCTCTTAAAAACTCTGGTTCCAGGATAACTGGACTATAAGAAAGAGCACGTATGAGAGATGCAAAGAACTGGGAAGTAGCCTAAATTTAGAGATTGAAGACACAGGATTGGGATTATTTCCTTCTTCACAGCCAATAATCAATCATATCCTGAGTATTTTATAATAAAAAGAGAATTCCAAAACTACTATTTCCTGTAGTTTCAGAGGCAGCAAGGCATAATATAATGAACAAAATCTTGAATGTTTATTCAAACTGACACAATTGCTAATTAAATTTTGTAATTTAATTGGTGGGTGAATGTAGGTAACTTATCTATGTGATAGTCTGATTACTCATTAGGAAAACGAGCATAATGTTACCTTTCAGGGAATTTATGAGTTTTAATGATAACATGTATGGAATTGTTAGAACAGTCTATGGCATACAATAGGTATCTGAGAATTTGTTTTTCTGATTTTGTCATAAAACATTCCTGTATGAAATGCCCAAGAACGTGTGGTTTCTTCTGCAATTTGAAGCATTGTTTTAATACAGATTAGATATTTAACATATATGAAGTTTAGTGCTAGTCATATTGATAAATTATTTGAAAAACTAACTCCCCCATTACTAATTTTTGTGACTTACTTTGATGAATCAAAGTTTATACTTTGGTGAAATTTTTTAATCAAGTTTTAGTATCTGATAAAAATATAGTCAACATAAATTATGCTTTCCTTTGTACATGAGAAGACATCGTTTTTGATAACATTTCACTACAAATGAGTTTTATTTTATGAAATAAATCTCACTTTAGGAGCAATGGTTATTTATATAAACTTCCTTCAAATGTGTGTGTGTGTGTGTGTGTATATATATATATATATATATATATATATATATCACATTTTTCTACTGCCTTGAAATTCTTAAATAAGTAAATAATTGGTTAATTTACTTTTCATGATTAAGCAATATGCATTCCTTTTATAATAATGCATTTAGCAATATTCAACTTGGGCTATTTATTCAAGTTTTGGATTTATAGTCACACATAAAATTTGATGGTTAAAGCAAATTTTCTAATAATGTGACCCTAAATCAGTCTGCGTCTTGTCTAATTTGGCTTTGTGTGAAAGCAAATAAAAACTGGTTGTTTTAAAACTATGTCTATTTAAATCTTAGAAGATATGGCACAATTGTGCAACACAACAAACAGCCGTAGAAGAAGATATAAAAACTAATTCTGGGGCATTTATTTTACAATTTGTTTCCTTTGTAATTTGATAGTATCCACCGTGTGTGTGTGTGTGTGTGTGTGTGTGTGTGTGTGTAAATATAAAGATATTATTGAGTCATATTAAGAAATTATATATATATACACACACACGGAGAGACACACGTGCAATTTAGACTAGTAAAAAAAAGGAGAGGAAAAAACAAAAGAAATTCATAAATGTGTATATATATCAGTGCACATTTCATATGATACAATTACCTCTCTAATTCCTTTCTCTTGTTTTTTTCACATAGTAATTTCTCAGTAATAAATGCTCACACACACAAACACACACAATTAAGTCTTGTATTACCTAAATAAATGTGTCAACATATCTCTGGAAGTTTGAGATAGCATATGAGGCAGTGGGTCAAAACAGAGAATAAACATGGAGCATGTTTTTGGCAGTTCAATTTACCTTGAAGCTTTTAGGGAAAATATTATTTCAAAAACTATGGACATATTATGGTACATCATGGAATTATGAGTTTTTAAGATAAACTCAAACATTTTTTAAAAAGATTTCCTCTTAAAGGGTTTCTTTGGACTATGACCTAAGAGACTACTTTGATGTTAGGAGCGTATCAATAGAAGTATGGAGAAGTATCACTTTTAACTGTTACATTGGTTTCATGTTTCCCATTATAGATAGCTAAATTATTTTATTAATTCTATTGACAGAATGTGCTGATGAAAAAATTTAGTTTCACATAATTTGCCAAATTGTACATTAACTTAGCCCGGCCATACATGGGCTCCCAAAACATGATTCCACAATAATTCTCTGACTTTAATTTCCATGTCATTATTGCTATCCTCTAGTTTGATGCTCTTTAATATGCCCATATGTTATAGATAATTAAAAAGCTGGAAAGAAAATAATTGGTCTTATATGTCATTTTTATTTTATACATATAAATTAAACTTTAAGAAATAAAGGCACATTTTCAATGATATAACTGAAGTTGATGGTTTAGCCAGATCTAGAATCCAGGTCTCTTTTTACTCTAAACTCTGTCATCCCAGTCATGATAAAGCCCCTGCCATCCTTAACATGGGATGTCCTTTTCTTTCTTTTATAATCCCACAAATATTTTGAGGTTATGAAACTGAAACTTTTTTTTACTAAGTAGATTCTGAGGAATCATGTAATGAATTTAATTGATTTTTTATGCAAAGAAAATAGCTACCTTAAATTTCAGCTCTTCAAAGTACTGCTCATTTGTAAAATTATACAAATGCATTTACTCTTCTAATTTATTAATATTTTGATGAGAAGTATCTAAATGTTCTCAACAGTATGAATGAATACAAGTTAGGCAAATTGATCATTTGGTAGAAAATGCCTTTTCAATCACTCTGATTTCAAAACTGAAGAGTGTTTGAAAAATTAGTGCAACTTTTAGTCATTACATATAACCCTAATTATTTGTACTTTTACCCTTTCCTGATGAAACAGAACCCTTTTCAAATAAGAATATAATGTTAATGAAACAAATCCCACTAGTTCTTAATGGGCATTTTTCACTTAGATTGGTCATAATCTCAAATTACTTTTAACAAGCTGTCCTGATAAAGATACATCCAATTTGGTATAGAAAACGACACTAAAGGAAGCACAGAATGATTGAAATTGTTTTAGAGACTGCAAATCAAGCATTTTTACTTTCATAGTCAAGTACAGTTTCTTTATTGTAAATCAAAGAAATTTCTGGTTGACTTTAATTGGTAGAATACATTCATTATCAAAAGTTTCTTTTCCAAGGGTATTATATAATGTGATTGAAAAATGACTAGTAGGTAATGTGTGAATTTTTAATTAGGTGGCTTCTGCCATCCCTAAGACTTTATAGAAGAAAATTGAAGTAAAATAATTTTAATGAAGAAAATAATGTTTTTCTTAGAGGCCTATGATTTATTCCTCCTCCACTATCTCTCTATGGCTCTTTTTCACCCCTGCAGTTAATTAGAAGTACTCCAAATTTAATTGCCTTTTCAAAAATTGTGCAACTCATCACTTTGCGTGATTTTAGTCCTGAACCCTAACTTCTCTGTACTTATTATCATTGATGACCTCTTTGACCATTCTGTGTAGTTCTCTTTCCATGTGCTGGTTTGAGGTCACTATCATTTGACCTCTCACAGGGCCTTTCACCCAGTTAAGTAAAAATTTACAACTAGTTGGTGAGCCTCAATCCCTTACTGCTAATTAGCCTTGCTCTTAGTCTGTGTTGGCATGCCTTGCCATGTCTGTAGTACTAATTATGAAATGAAGGGATGCAATGTATAGATGGAGTCATTTTAAAATTTGACTTTACATCAGATATCCAAGTCATTATTCTTGAGGCAGGTAAGTCATGTCTCCTTGTCTTTTGTTATTAATTTTATATATATATATATATATATATATATATATATATATATATATATATATGATTCAGATTTATTGCATTTAATGGTCTGTGGACTCAAACTGTGATGAGATGGTTACAGATACTACAAAGGTGAATCTATGATTGAATTCTGCTACTCAATCAATATGACAAAGAAAGGAATAAATTAAAATACCTGCAATTTTATAGGGGGAAAAATCACTGAAAATAATTGGTATTGATAGCATCGAGTTCCAAATTACATTCAACATCTATAAGGTGGTGCCCTGCAACCACTTAGATAGATAAGAGAATTTCAACTTTGCTTCTTGCGCAGAAGCATTGAGGTACTACTTCTGACCTTAACCTAATATGGATCTTGTTCATCCATTACCATATATAGTTTAATACATGAATAGTTCTGTTACCAGTGGAGGGTGTCCAGGTTCTTGGCGTTTTGAACAAATAATTGGAGAAAATGCACAAACAAAGCAAGGAAAGAATGAAGCAGCAAAAGCAGAGATTTATTGAAAATGAAAGTACATCCCACAGGGTGGGAGCCGGCGAGGCGGCAGTTGAAGGGCCCCGGATTCAGAATCTTCTCAGGTCCAAATACCCCCCAGAGATTTCCCATTGGCTACTTGGTGTTCACCCCATGTAAATGAAGTGGTGGCCTGCAACCAATCAGGAGTACTTTCAACTTTCCATCTGCTGTGCAGAAAAGGTGGGGGTTTGCAAAGGGGTAGCCTCCGGTCCTTTTGTTACTTAGGAATGGAAAGTTAGGATTTTCCTTTCAATTTAGTTCTAGGAAGTCAATGTGAAACGGCTTCAGGTTCCCTGACTCCAGACCCTATTCTCTGGCCTCAATTCTAGTGGTTGTTGTTTTTAATCGTTTTCTCAGGTGATCCATGAGAGGTTTTACATCAGTGAGGAAACAAATAACCTATTTATTTTCATTATTCTGATTTTCTTTTCCATTAAGTAGCTGGAGATACTAAAGAGAGGAAAAATCGAATTTCCAGTTGTATGAATTTGTAAAATATGAATATATTAGAAACAGAATAATGAGATATTAAAGTTGTGAAAGATCTATCACTTAACACAGAGTGAGGAATATTATAGACCTTCAGAAGACGTTTTGTATGGGATGTATAATCTAGCAGACCCTTCTGTTATTAAATATGTATTTAAACAATTATTCTGAAAATTACTTATACTTAAAATATTGAAACATAATTAATAAGCTCACTGTGTTATTTCGTGTATGTTACATTACATATTTTTTCTCTGAATGTAGTTGTTATACATGGGTGTGCCCTGTTGATACCGGGAATTTTAAATAACTGATTAATATGGTAAAGTCTCTAATAGAAAAAATGCACAATGTGAAAAAACAGGTGAGTAATATAAGCAAAGTGATGGAGACAGAATCAAAAGGAAATGCTAGAAATCAAAAACACTGTAACAGAAATGAAAATGCTTTTCTTTTTTTTTCTTTTTCAGTCTCGCTCTGTCACCCAGGCTGGAATGCAGTGGCACGATATCAGCTCACTGCAAACACAGCAACCTCAGCCTCCTGGGTTCAAGCGATTCTCATGCCTCATCCTCCAGACTAGCTGGGATTACACGCATGCGCCACCACACCTGACTAATTATTTTTTGTATTTTTAGTAGAGACGTGGTTTCACCATGTTGGCCAGGCTGGTCTCAAACTCCTGACCTGAAGTGATCCGCCCACCATGACCTCCCGAAGTGCTGTGATTACAAGGGTGAGCCACTGCGCCCGGCAAGAACGTCTTTAGTGGACTCATAACTAGACCGGAAATGGCCAAAGAGTCAGTGAGCTTAAAGATATCTCAATGAAACTTTACAAACTGAAGTGCACATTTTATTTAACTTCTAGCATATTACAATACACACTTTTAAAACACTAAAAAAGATTCATTTCACTGTGTTTAAAGCCATTGCAGTTATTTTGCTCAATTAATTTGAACACATATTGATATTTGTTTGGGGATAAAATAAAAAGCATCTTATTTTCCCAAAATATTTCAAAGTGAACATGCAAGCTTCCTATTTTTTTTCTCATAGTGTTTTTTCTTGTTGTTTTTTGGTCCATCAGCTAGGTAATTTAGCTAGATCACACCAACGAACAGCAGAGCTCTTTTAAAAGTTGGGTCACACCAATTTCACAGCTCTATGTGCTAATTACTATAGTGTGTAAAAATAATTCAATATTAAAGATGTGATTTAATAAAATATAACAACTGTTTTACACAAACTCAAGACATTTATATAATCAAGTATAATGAATAGTAATCTATGTAGAAGAGATATAGTTTGCCATGGAATTTAAGAAAAACTTAAGTTCTGATACTTTCAAAAAAAAAAAAAGAAATAAACCTGAAAATAATGAAGAATTTTTAAGTAAAAATATAGGCTGCCCCAATGTTAATTTGTATATTTTAAGTAGTGACCCACTTACTTTGAAAATACTGTAATGTTTTACACATGGCATTGTGCCTCTGTTCCTTGCCCTTCCACTATGGCTGAGCATTATTACACTAAGTGGAAATGGTGATAAGACCTATATTTTACCTTCCCCGTAAAACATGTAGTTTTCTTTTGCTATTGGTAGGTAACACACTACAAAAAAATCCTAATCTTTGAAAAAAAAAATCATGACTGTCTTTTTGCTAAATCATAAGTGAAAGCTCCAGGAAAGATAAATTAGAGCCTCTGTTGGTCTTTCATCTCTAGCGGTCTCCTGAGTAGACAGGAGGTGTTGATAAGTGCGACACTTGCTGCTTCCTCAGCTCTCACTTCTGAGTTGTGTTATCAGCTGCGGGGCTTTAATCTTGAGTACTCATCAGTTTCTTCCTTTTTTATTTGCTCTTCTCCCTGCCCTACACACCCTTCTTGATAGCATCTGCTATTTTCACTATCTCCATGTGATTAGCTTGCTGTCCCACAGTGTTCAGCTCACTATGTATTCCAAATGATTCCAATTTGCTTTTGATTTTAAATTAAAATTAAAACAGCTGTTTTCAAATGAACACCTCCTATATCCCAGGGTTTGTGCTTGAACCTGTTGGATATTTAGAAAAATATATAGATTCTCCTCCCATTACTGAATACAAAGCATAAAGGCAAGAGAAAATCCTCTTCCTTTTTTAACTCTAAAGACTTCACTTGGACTGAAGAGCTTAAATTCTTGAAACTCCCTCTGTCCCATTTTTACAGTGATTGTAGGCCAATATCTTATGCAAGAGTTTCATCATACCTCGGGGCTAACTTAAGGAAATAAAAAAATATATATCATGTTTAAGATTCTGGTGAGTCTTGGTTCAGATGAGGCTGATCACCCTCAAGGAGAAGATTCTTGTGTAGTATTTTCTATGTTCTGCTTCTTAGGTGCTGCTTACTCCCTGAGGCATAGTCTAAGTGTAAGACGAGAATTCAAGGAATTTCTCCTTTCCAGAAATGTCAAGCGTTATTTCGCTATGGGTCAAGATAACCTCTTCACATTATGTTGTACGTAGAAAAGAATTTTTCTTCCTCACTAAAAAGGGGGGCTGTATTGCTTTCAAAAATTAATCTTATGAATGAGGTTTGTATGTATGCCCATGCTTTGCTTTAACAGCTATCTTTTAGATACCTAGAACAGAAAGTAAGAGAATCTTGCTATGGGATTAACTCTTTGATGTTCTTTTGTTTGGACTGTGAGGGCAATTGTAAGAAATAAGCCATTTTATTATTTTTTCTTTCCAGGGTATTAAGTCCCTCCAGCTAACCACAGGAGACAGTGGAGAGCTTAGTGAGGAGTTAGAATAATGAAAAGAGCACGTCCTGCCGCTCAGTCACTGTTGCATGAGTGCTGGATGTTCAAGACACACTGTTTTACTTCATATTCTCAAGGCTAGTCATTTTCCAAAGCAGAGCCAGATGCGATGGTTGCTGATGCTGGAAGATAACTTAAACCCCAACCCAGGAATCAGGTTCTATTCTTTTCTCCATATTAGCAACTTGAATTATTTTTGTTCCCTAATCCTAACTATTTTTCCAGTTAGGAACCCAGTTGGGTCTTTATAAAGACCCAAAATGATCAATCTCCTCTCTGAAGACTATCTTTGTAAAACACATTGGTCAGGCAATGTTTGTTGATAAGATAAAAAAAGTTCTTATTTCATACTTTACCAAGGCTAATAGATGTCTTTTTTCACATGTTGGTATAATCAAAAGATGCCTCAATGGAACCATTGAAAAACAAGACAGAGATTATACTAAATGCAAACAAACTGCATATGTCATTTAAATGACTGAAGTCATTAAACTTATTTATAGAGCATACAAATTATATGTACTTTATCAAAGATCCACCTTACATATAAGGATGAAAAAAAGTTGAAAGGAAAAAGTATTCACATATGTGAATACGAATGATAACCTGGGTATACTGATGTACATATTAAAAGTTTGCAGATTAAGGCCAGTCACAATGGCTCACACCTGTAATCCCAGTACTTTGGGAGGCTGAGGCAGATGGATCACTTGAGGTCAGGAGTTTGGGATCAGCCTGGTCAACATGGTGAAACCCCATCTCTACTAAAAATACAAAAATCAGCCAGGTGTGGTGGCACACACCTGTAACCCCAACTACTCAGAAGGCTGACGCAGGAGAATTGCTTGAACCCAGGAGGTGGAGGTTGTAGTGAGCTGAGATCACACCAGCGCACTCTAGCCTGGGCAGCAAAGCAAAACTCAGTCTCAACAACAACAACAACAAAAAAAAGGTTGCAGATTAAAAAGAGAAATAGAATTTTAAAATCATGCTGGAAGATTTTATCACACATCTTTTAGTAGAAAAATATTTATCAGAGAAGATTGAGAAGAGTTAAGCAACACAATTAACAAATTTGACTTAACTGACATAGAATGTCTCCAAGAACTGCAGAGTATGCATTTCTTATCAAGCATATATAAAGTATATTCTGGGCCCTGTATCCAATCTCAGTGAACTTTGAAGTATTGAAATCATACAGAGAACAACTTCAGAGAACAATAGTACTACATTGGAAATCAGTAATAAATGGGTACTTTTTAAAATGTACCTCCATGTTTCTAAGTGATTAGTAATCAAAGAGGAAATCATAATGGGATTAAATACATGTTGAACTAAATATAAATAATAAAACCTGGTCTATTAAAACTTGCAAATTTTAGCTATGGCTAGACTTCTATTAAGAACTAAAAAATTAGGACCAGGCAAGGTAGCTCATGCCTGTAATCCCACCACTTTGTGGACCCAAGATGGGAGAATTACCTTAGCTCGGGACTTTGAGACCAACCTGGGCAACATAGCAAGACCTTGTCTCTACTAAAAATCAAAAAAAGAAAAAATAGCAGTGTGTGGTTGTTACACCTGCAGTCACAGCTACGTGGGAGATTGAGGTGAGAGGATCACTTGAGCCTGGAAGATCGAGGCTGCTGCTGCACCCTAGACTAGATGACAGAGTGAGACCCTGTCTCAAAAGAGAGAGAGAAAGAGAGAGAGAGAGAGAAAGAAAGAAAGAGAGAGAGAAAGAAAAAAGAAAGAAAGAGAAAGAAAGAAGAAAAGAAAGAAAGAAGAAAAGAAAGAAAGAAGAAAAGAAAGAAAGAAGAAAGAAAGAAAGAAAGAAAGAAAGAAAGAAAGAAAGAAAGAAAGAAAGAAAGAAAAGAAAGGAAGAGAAAGAAAGAAACAGATAATGTTTTAGTTTTCTGTTGCTGCTGAGAAGCTACTAAACACTAAGCAACTTTAACAACACAAGTCTATTATTTCATAGTTCTGAAGGTCAGAAATCTGAGCAGGTACTAACTGGAATTTCTGCTCAGTCTCACCAGGAGGAAATTTAAGCCTGATTTCTCCCAAATCTTGTGGTGCTCTTCTGAGCTCACTGGTTGTTGATAGAAATCAATTTCTTCTGGTAAGTCTGAGGTCTTCAGCTCCTACAGGCCATCCTCCATTCTCTGCCAAATGGCCCTCCAGACAACATGATAGTTTTCTTTCTTCCATGTCAGTAATCGAAAATCTCTGTCACTTCACCATTTTTAATATGCCTTTCATAATAGTCCAGGCCCACCCAGAATAACCTTCATTTTAATTAATTCAAAGTCAACTGACTAGTAGCTTAATCATAGTAGTGATATGCCATCATATTCTCCTCTCTTGATATATTACTTCTCCCATCCACACTCAACAAAACTATATGTGACCTGTACATCAGGGAGAGGAATCTTGGGGGACACCTTAAAATACTGTCTACATAGGGACAAAAAGAGGTTATATGCTATCAACAACTTTATTCTAATCTATTTAAATAGAGAAAATGAATATTTAAAAAAACATAATTTGCCAAAACTGATAGAATAAATTAAAAAATTAAAACATTCCTATAGCTATGAAAATAACAGGTTTTGTGATTTATTTATTTATTTATTTATTTATGAGACAGAGTCTCAGTCTGTCACCCAGGCTGGAGTGCAGTGGCATTATCTCAGCTCACTACAACCTCCATCTCCTGGGTTCAAGTGATTCTCAGGCCTCAGCCTCCTAAGTAGCTGGGACTATAGGCACGTGCCACCATGCCCAGCTAATTTTTTGTATTTGTAAATAGAGACAGGGTTTTGCCATGTTGGCCAGGCTGGTCTCGAACTCCTGATCTCAAGTGATCTGCTCGACTTGGCCTCTCAAAGTGCTGGGACTACAGGTGTGAGCCACCGTGGCCAGCCTCATAATTTTTTTTTTGAAGTTCCACAATAAAAAAAATCCTTGCCAACATTATTATTAAGTTTTTCAAATATTTTAACAAGTAGATCATGAATTCTGAACCATATTTTTATACCAATATAAACGAACTAAAATAAGACAAGATTATTAAAATAAAAGACAATTGCATGGCAATATCATTCATGAATACAGATATAAAAATACTTCACAAAATATGAGCAAAACAAGCCTAGCTACAAAAAAAATAGATAATATATCATGATCAACTTAGGCTAATTCCTGCAATGAAATGTTGGTTAACATCTGAAAATCAATCAACACAATCCTACATTGTTTCATTTATTCTAAAGGAAGAAAGCAATATAATTACCACCAGGAATCAGGTGCATACATCCACCAACTATTCATGATGAGAATTCATAGCAAATGAGAAATAGGAGTTATCTTAGGTAAGTACCCTAGAAAAAACAAGAATCTCTAAGACTTGTTTCTAATACATAATTCATATGCATATGCTTTATTGAAAACCTGTTCTTCCAGGAAATACTATAAAGGAGAGAACAAAAGCTGGGGAAAGGACAGAGCAAAGATGAGTTTTCTGTCAAAGATTAGCTTTATTGTCATTCATAGGTAGCATCTAGAATATAAACAGCCAAATTATTTTTCTCTCTTGAAACAAGATAGCTGGGCTTCGAATCTTTATATCATTGAGTTTTCTGCTATCAAATGGAGTATAACCTTGCATATTTCTGTATGCAAGCAACCTTCCCTTAGCCAAATGCAATGTTCTGGAGAAGATCTCAGGATTTAGCTATTAGCCACAACACTCGCAGCAGCAAAAATAATATTTGGACCATGAACTAAGCATTCATTCTTGTAAGAAAACATCTTTAATGTGATAAAGTTTATCTACAAAAAAAATCCCTCAGCAAATAACATATTTAGTTGGCAAATATTTTAAGTTTCACTTTGGGATCAACAATACACCTATCATCATATACTCTATATTGTATAAGAATTCTAAGCCGGTTAAATAAGAAAATAAAAAATTTTCTTTTTATTTTTGTTTAAGTTGTAGATTTGTATAAAGTTGGGTATATGTTTGTTACAGCTGGTTAATATATATTATTTTTCTAAATCATATTTCAGAGGAACTGTATCCTAAAGTAATATCATTGTATAAATTACTATCAAATCATGTAATGATAACTTAAAATCAACAGACAAATATGACTTCTGACAATTTATAATAAGAAAATGAAAGTTCCTCATTAATTAAAAAATATATTATATATATACATACACACATATGCACAGATATTAGTGTTGTGTGTATGTGTATTTGTGTTTTTTCTCCAAATTTTAAATCCTGATAAAAAAGAAAAAATACAAACTGAAATCAATTATATCTAGTATTTATTATGGACCAATTTATGCAATAAATAGAAGTATCATGTTTCCTATAATTTGCTTTTTAATGGTTTTATTAAATTTTACAAATATGTCACAGAATGTTTTTATTGTAATTTATTATTTATTTACTTACTTTTTTTTTTTTTGAGACAGAGTTTCGCTCTTGTTGCCCAGGCTGGAGTACAATGGCACGATCTCGGCTCACCAAACCTCCACCTCCTGGGTTCAAGCAATTCTCCTGCCTCAGCCTCCCAAGTAGCTGGGATTACAGGCATGTGCCACCATGCCTGGCTAATTTTTTTTTTTTTTGTATTTTTAGTAGAGATGGAGTTTCTCCATGTTGGTCAGGCTGATCTCGAAATCCTGACCTCAGGTAATCCCCCAGCCTTGGCCTCCCAAAGTGCTGGGATTACAGGTGTTAGCTACCACGCCGGCCTTTTACTGTAATTTTTTAAATCTAAGGAAATTAGAGAAAGAAGCACTTTTCATTCAAATTCATACTGAAATATATCGTTTTTTTACATTTAAGCTTTCTTGTTAAAACATGCTTTGCACATATAATACTAAACTGAACCACCAGATTGAAATGAATATTGGATTTAGCATAGATTTATATTTAAAGTTTTTTATAAACTAAGCTTAAGGGAATTCTGGAAACATTTGATTATATTTCATGTAATATCTGAACTTTCTTAGATAACTGAAAAATGATAAAGTAGAAAGCTGTGTTACAGAACATATTCAAATAAGACAATATTTGGCTAAATAAAATTGCAGACTTCTTTTTCTAGTCATAATATATGTATTCACACATATATACGCATGCATATATGTATCTGTGTATGTATGTATAGCTGCATATCAACACATAAATGTATACATACACACACATAAGGGGGAGATGGTTCAATTTTGCTACCACTTATTTTTTCTCAAAATTTACTAACAAAACATAATACAAATAATACATTTAGAAAATTTAAGCACAAAAATATTGAAAGATACAATTGACAGCAATTTTAGTTGTTCATTGCTGCTGTAACAAATTAGCACAAGCAGTGATTTTTAAACAACATATTTTATTATTTTACAATTCTGACATAAGTCATTTGAGAGGGCTAAAATCAAGGTGTCAGCTGGCCCAGTCCTTCAGAAGGCTTTATGGTCTAATTTATTTCCTTGCCTTTTCCAGATTATAGATGCTACCTGCATTCCCTGGCTCAAGTCCTCTTTTTCCAACTGCAAATCTAGATACATAACATCTTTTCTTTTTTCTGACTTCTGCCTCTGCCCTTCTCTCCTTCTCTCTCTCTCTCTCTCTTTCTCTCGCTCATCCCTCTCTTTGCCTCACTTCTCTGCTTCCATAATCAAATCACCTGTCATGTATGTGATCCTCCTACATATGTCTTATAAAGATCTTTGTGATTGCATTGGTCCCCGCTAGATAACCAAGGATACTACCCCCATCTCAAAATCCTTCACTTAACCACATCTTCAAAGCCTTTTTGCAATGTGTGGCAATGTATTTACAAGTTATTGGGATTAGGACATAAACATTTTTGTGGGGAGGCTGTTATTCAGTCTGCCATAGCTACATGACAGCTATTTCTAAGAAAATAATAGTCATGCCAAATAGAAAATTAACTGTCAGTCCTATGGGGGAAAAAAAAACTTTCAAATGATTTTGCAAGAATTAAATGAAGTTCCTAAAAATGACATATTTCTTACACAAAACCTTAATGCTAACCTGATGTCAATCTACTTAGAAAGATAGAAGCCTTTATAATAGTATTTCTATACGTAAGCTAAATTACTAAAATAAATCGAAAATTAAGACATGAAATTAATTAAACTTACTGGTGGAAAGTAAAATAAGTGAAACATCTATAGAACCAAAGCAAGCTCAATAAAAATTTAAGTTGTTTTGTGGATATTAACAAAGTAGTTCCAAAATTTATACGTAAAGACAAAAAAACTCAGCCAAAAATAACATTAAAAGAAAATGACATCAGAAGACTGAGACTACTCAACTTTAAAACTTACTATAAAGCAACAGTAATCAAAACAGTGTGGTATTGGCAAAATAACAGATAAATAATTAAAAAGAACCAAGTAGAAATTCTGGAGTTGAAAAACACAATTGACAGAGTAAAACATGCATCAGAGTCTCTTTTTTTTTTTTTTGAGACAGAGTCTTGCTCTGTCACCCAGGCTGGAGTGCAATGGCGCAATCTCGGCTCACTGCAAGCTCCACCTCCCAGGTTCACACCATTCTCCTGCCTCAGCCTCCTGAGTAGCTAGGACTACAGGTGCATGCCATCACGCCCAGCTAATTCTTTGTATTTTTTAGTAGAGACAGGGTTTCACCGTGTCAGCCAGGATGGTCTCGATCTCCTGACGTCATGATCCACCCACCTTGGCCTCCCAAAGTGCTGGGATTACAGGCATGAGCCACTGTGCCCAGCTCATCAGAGTCTCTTAATAGTAGAATTGATCAAGCAGAAGAGAGAATTAGTGAGCTTGAAGACTCACTGTTTATTTATTTTTTTTCAAATAGCCTAAAGACCATAATGACATTGAATATAAATGTACTAGACATTCCAATCAAAAGATGTTGAGCGGCAGAAGACAGGCTGTTTGAAAATAAATGGTTAGAGGACACAAAATAGAAAAGACTAAAAAAGAATGAACCATGCCTACAGGGTCTAGAAAACAGCCTCAAAGGGCAAATCTGAGAGTTGTTAGCTTTAAAGAAGAAGTAGAGAAAAAGATAAGGGTAGAAAATTTATTCAAAGGAATAATGACAAAGAACTTCCCAAGCCTAGATAAATATATCAATATCCAAGTACAAAAAGGTTACAGAAAACAAAGCAGATTTAATCCAAAGAAGATTGCCTCAAGGCATTTAATAATCAAACTCCCAAAGGTCAAGGTTAAGGAAAGGATCCTAAAAGCAGCAAGAGAAAAGAAAAAAATAATATACAATGGATGTCCAATACATGTGGCAGCAAATTTTTCAGTGAAAACTTTACAGGTCAGGAGAGAGTGTCAAAACATATTTAATGTGCTCAATGAAAAAAAACCTTTTAACCTAGAAGAGTATACCTGGTTAAAATATTCCTCAAACATGAAGGGGAAATAAAGACTTTCCCAGACAAAAAAAAAGCTGTGGGATTACATCAACACCAGACCTGTTCTACAAGAAATGCTAAAGAGAGCACTACAATCAGAAAGAACGGTTTATTAATGAACAATAGGACATCCTGTGAAGAAAGGCCAGGCGTGGTGGCTCACACCTGTAATCCCAGCACTTTGGGAAGCCAAGGTAGGTGGATCACTTGAGGTCAGAAGTTTGAGACCAGCCTGGCTGACATGGTGAACCACCATCTCCACTGAAAATATAAAAATTAGCCAGGTATGGTGGCACACACCTATAGTCCCAGCTACTTGGGAGGCTGAGACATGAGAATCACTTCAACCTGGGAGATGGAGGTTACAGTGAGCCTAGATTGCACTACTGCACTCCAAGCTGGGAAACAGAGTTAGACTCCATCTCAAAAAAAAAAAAAAGAAAAAAGAAAAAAGAAAAAAACGCATTATGTGAAGGTATAAAACTCACTGGAAATCAAGTTTGCAGAAAAACACAGATTATTATAACACTATAATGGTGGTATGTAAACTACTTTTAGCCTAGGTAGAAAGACTAAAAGATGAACCAATCAAAAGTAGTAACTGCAACTTTTCAAGACATAGACAGTACAATAAGATATAAATAGAAATAACAAAATGCTAAAAAGCAGGAGGATGAAGTTAAAGTATACAGTTGGTATTAGCTTTCTATTTGCTAGTCAGTTTGTTTATGCAAGCAGTGTTAAGTTGTTAACAGCTTAAAATAATGGGTTATAAGATAGCATTTGCAAGCTCCATGGTAACCTCAAATCAAAAAACATACAACATATACACAAAAAATATAAAGCAGGAAATTAAATCATACCACTGGATAAAATCACCTTTACTAAAAGGAAGACAGGAAGAAAGGAAATAAGTAAGAGAAGACCACAAAATTACCAGAAAACAAATAACAAAGTGGCAGGAGTGAGTTCTTACTTATCAATAATAACATTAAATGTAAATTGACTAAATGCTTCAATCAAAAGACGTAGAGTGGCCGAATAGGTAAGGCAAGATCTAATGATCTGTTGCCTACAAGAAACATACTTCACCTATGAAGAAACACATAGATTAAAAATAAAGGAATGGAAAAAGATATTCCTATTTCGTGCCAATGAAAACCAAAAAAGAGCCAAAGTAGCTATACTTAAATCAGACAAAACAGATTTCAAGCCAAAAACTGTAGGATAAACAAGGAAAGTCATTATATAATGATAAAGGGATCAATTCAGCAAGATAATATAACAATTTTAATTATATATGCACCCAACATTGGAGAGCCCAGATAGCAAAGTAAATATTATTACAGCTAAATAAAGGTATAAACCCCAATGCAATAATAGCTGGAGACTTCAATACCCAACTTTTAGCATTGGATAGATCTTCCAGAGAGAAAATCAACAAAGAAACATCTGACTTAATCTGCACCATAGACCAAATGGACCTAGTGAATATTTACAGAATATTTCATCCAATGGCTGTAGAATGTGCATTCTTCTCCTTAGAGAAGAATGGATCATTCACAAGGATAGACCATATGTTAGGTCACCAAATAAGTCTCAAAATATTCAAAATACTGAATACTCTCAAGCATCTTCTCTCACCACAATGGAATAGAACTAGAAATCAACAACCAAGATGAATTTTGGAAACTATACAACACATAAAAATTAAAAAATATGCCGCTGAATGACCAGTGAGTCAATGAAAAAATTAATAAAACTAAAAAAATTTCTTGAAACAAATGATAATGGAAACCTGATATATGAAACCCTGTCAGATACAGCAAAAGCAGTACTAAGAGGAAAGCTTATAGCTATGAGTGAGTGTGTACATCAAAAAATAAGAAAAACTTTAAATAAACAAACTAATGATGCATCTTAAGGAACTAGGAAACCAAGACTGAAACAAACCCAAAATTAGTAGAAGAATAGAAATAATAACAATTAGTGCAGAGATAAATGAAACTGAAATGAATAAAACAATATAAACTATTAATAAAATAAAAAGTTGTTTTTTGAAAAGATAAAATTGACAAACCTTTAGCCAGAAGAGTTAAAACCCAAAAACTAAAATCAGAGATGAAAAAATGAGGCATTACAACTGATATGATATAAATTCAAAGGATTATTAGTGGCTAATTTGAGCAATTATATGCCAATATATTGGAAAATCTAGAAGAAATGGTTAAATTCCTAGACACATACAACCTACTAACTTTGATCCATGAAGACATCCAAAACCTGAACAGACCAAAAACAAGTAATGAGATTGAAGCTGTAATAAAATATCTCTCAGAGACAAAAAGTCAAGGTTCCAATGGCTTCACTGCTTAATTCTACCAAACATTTAAAGAAGATCTAATGCCTATCCTACTCAAATTATTATATAAAATAGAGGAGGAGGGATTACTTCCAAACTCATTCCACAAGGCCAGTATAACCCTGATACCAAAACCATATAAAAAGAGACATCGAAAAAAATAAAAATAGAGACCAGTATCACTGATGAATATATTGATGCAAAAGTCCTCAACAAAATATTAGCAAACAATTCAACAATACATTAAAAAGATCATTTATCATGACCAAGTGAGATTTATCACAGGGATACAAGGATATTTCAACATACACAAATTAATCAATGTGATGCATCGTATCAAGAGAATGAAAGACAATATCCATATGATCATTTCAATTGATGTTGAAAAATCATTTGCTTGAATTCAGCATCACTTCATGATAAAAACATTAAAAATTTTGGTATGAAAGAACATCAGTCAACATAATAAAAGCCATATGTGATAGACTTTTAGCTGCTATCATATTGGATGAGGAAAGGTTGAAAGTCTTTCCTCTAAGATATGGAATGCAAGGATGCCCACTTTCACCACTGTTATTCAACATAGTACTGGAATTCCTAGCTAAAGCAATTCAGACAAGAGAAAGATATAAAGGGTATCCAAATTGGAAAAGAAGAAGTCAAATTATCCTTGTTTGCAGATGATAAGATATTATATTTGGAAAAACCTGAAGACTTCACCAAAATACTATTAGAACCAATAAACAAATTTGGTAACGTTGCAGGATACAAAATCAATATACAAAAATCAGTAGCATTACTATATGCCAATAGCAAGCAAATTGGAAAAGAAATCAAGAAAGTAATCCCATCTACAACAGCTACGAATGAAATAAAATACTAGGCAATTAACTTAACCAAGAAGGGAAGATGTCTACAATGAAAACTACAAAGTATTGATGCAAGAAATTGAAGAGGACACAGAAATAATGGAAAGACATTCATGTTCATGGATTGGAAGAATTAATATTGTTAAAATGTCTCTACTACCCAAAACAATCTGCAGATTGAATGCAATCTTTATGAAAATACTGGTGATACTCTTCACAGAAATAGAAGAAACAATTCTAAAATTTATGTGGAACCACAAAAGACCTAGAACATCCAAAGCTATCCTAAGCAAAAGAAGAAAACTGGAGGAATCACGTTATATGACTTGAAATTATACTATAGAGTTATAGTAACCAAAATAGCACAGTACTGGCATAAAAAGACACATGGACCAGTGGAATAGAATAGAGGACCCATAAATATATACATACATGTATTGTAAACTCATTTTTGACAAAGGTGCCACAAACATACATTGGGGAAAGGACAGTCTATTCAATAAATGGTGCTGGAAAAACTGGATATTCATTTGTAAAAGAATGAAACTAGACCTCTGTCTCTCACCATATACAAAAATGAAACCAAATTAAATTAAAAACTTAAATATGAGACCTCATACTATGAAACTACTAAAAGAAAACTGTGGGGAAATTCTCCCAGACATTGGACTGAGAAAAGATTTATTGAGTAATAACCCACAAGCACAGGCAACCAAAGCACAAATGGATAGATGGGATCATATCAAGTTAAAAAGCTTCTGCACAGCAAAAGAAACAATCAAAAAAGTGAAGAGACAACCCACAGAATGGAAGAAAATACTTACAAACTACCCATAATAAACAGAATATATAAAAAGCTCAAACAACTCTACAGGAAAAAAATCTAATAACCCAATTAAAAATGGTCAAAAGATGTGAATAGTTATTTCACGAAAGAAGACATACAAGTAGCAAACAGGTATATAAAAAGGTGCTCAACATCACTGGTCATCAGAGAAATGCAAATCAAAACTGCAATGAGATATCATCTCACCCTAGTTAAAATGGCTTATATCCAAAAGACAATAAATAACAAACACTGGTTGAGGATGTGGAGAAAAGGGAACACTCGTACACTGTTTGTGGGAATGTACATTAATACAACCATTACGGAGAACAGTTTAGAGATTCCTCAGAATCTAAAAATAGAGCTACTATGCAATCCAGCAATCCCACCCCTTGGTATATACCCAAAAGAAAATAAATCAGTATATCAAAGAAATATGTGTACTCCCATGTTTACTGCAGCACTATTCACAATATCCAAGATTTGGAAGCAATCTAAGTGTCCATCAACAGACGAATGGATAAAGAAAGTGTGGTGCATATACACAATGGAATACTATTCAGCTGTGAAAAAGAATGAGATCTTGTCATTTGCAACAACATGGATGGAACTGGAGGTCGTTATGTTAATTGAAATAAGCCAGGCACAGATAGACACATTTTGCATGTTCTCACTTATTTATGGGAGCTAAAAATTAAAACAGTTGAACTCATGGAGGAGCTAGAGAGTAGAATGATGGTTACCAGAGGCTAGGAAAGGTAGTGAGCAGGTCAGGAGAAATGGAAATGGGGAAGGGATGCAAAAAAATTAGAAAGGATAAATAAGACCTAGTATTAGCTAGCACGACATGGTGACTATAGTGAAAATAGTTTAATTGTACATTTAAAAATAACTAAAAGTATAATTGGACTGTTTGTAACACAAGAGATAGGTGCTAGAGGTGATGAATATTTTGATGTGATTATTTGAATTTTCATGTGATTATTACACATTGCATACCTGTATCAAAATATCTCATGTAATCCATAAATATATACATCTTCTACGTACCTACAAAAATTAAAAATTAATAACAGAGGAAGCTTTGAGTGGGGCACAAATGAGGCGGTAAATGGAAACTGATTTATCTTCAATTTATCCGTGAACCTTAAACTGACATAAAGAAGAAAGTATCTTAACAAAAAACACAACGAAATATGAAACATGTGGGTGGTGTTAAATTTAATAAAAAATTTTACAGGTTCCCAATTTTACATCTTTGTTCCTAATGGGTATGGACAGCAGTGTCTTGGCTTTCCAGTACTAACTGCCAATGTATGTGATTAAATCCTCCCTCCATTCTATGTGATATTCCCTAGTTAAGTATTTTACCTTTTGGAAATCTCTCAGTTTTGTCTGCTAAACAAGACTCCTGCCCCTCCTTAATGTTTTTATACATATTTATGTATTATTTGCTGTTCAACATTTATGTCAAAGGGTCAATGTATGAAATATATGTAACATTGTGACTCAGTATTCACAAGCACACATGCATGCACATGCTCAAATGAAACACAAGTCTGTCAACACAATGTTTAATCCTATTCTGATGCTTTCTATTCTATTGCATCATAATCTTGTAGCTCTTATTCTATTTCTTACTGTGAAAATGCTGGTCCTAGAGGTAGACCGAATTGATTTCAAAATCCACTGAAAGTCATGACCAAGTATATAAAAACTGTATTATATAAAAAGAGCATTAATTTTGAAAAGTTTACTGCCGAGATATTACAGTCGTCTCTTGAGATCTATGGGGGATTTGTTCCAGGGTCCCCGGTGGATAACAAAATCTCCGTATGCTCAAGTCCCTTAAATAAAATGGCATAGTATTTGCATATAACCCGCACATTTCCTCCCATATACTTTAAATAATCTCTAATTTATTTATAATAACTAATGCAGTGTTTACACATCATTGCGTAGATTTGACATAGTAATCAGAGAGCTATGAATTCAAGTTTTGCATAACCTCCTGGGATTTGTTTTCTGAGTATGTTTGATTTGAGACTGGTTGAATACATGGAAGTGTAACTCAGGGATATATAGGGCCAACTCTATTTCCATACCTCTAATCTCATTCTCTAAATTAGAGTAAGTTTTCTTTAGAAACTCTTCTCTTGAATGAACCTAACAGTCTCATTCCCAAATCTCTCCTTAAACTTTCTGCACATTGGACACTGCTGACTTCATATCCTTTTTATTAATGTTTTTCCTTCTCATCCCATTGTAATTGTCATGTTTGATTGTTCTGCTTTAACTCAACCCAAAACTTTCTGGCACCTTATGCTCCCATTTTTTTTACATGGAGGCATAAACAATCTTATCATTAATCCCTCTGTTAATTGAAATTCTAGCTCTTTTCCTTAAAGAGTCCATCTACATTCACAGTGCTAAATATCACACTAACATTGTAGCTGTAAAATGTTTGATTCTTGCCCTAATGTTTCCTTGGAGTTTCATCTTCACATTCTACTTATTTGACATTTTCTTGTTAATGACCATATGTAATTTCAAATTCTCCCTGTATTAAGTCAAATAAATGTCTTTGCCTCAAAACAAATGGTTTCATCTTACTTCCCTGTTTATCTACCATTATAAATCCTCAAGTTAGACATTGCTAAATAAAGTTGACTTTTTTCCTTCTCTTTTCTCCAAGTAAGCAATCAGGACATTTAGTTTGCTGTTTTTCAGGATATTTCTCAATCAATTTTTTCCAATTCCCACTGCCACTTTCTTGCCTATTAACTCATTATTCTATGCCTGGATTGCTGAACTGGTTTTCTGAATAGTCTTCTGACTTTCAATTGTTTTCATTACTATTTGTAATTCAGACAGCATCTAGACCAATCTCTAATAACAGATTAGTCTAGCAAGCTTCTTAAATGTATCAGTTGTCCATTGCTAAGATAGTCTTAGAATTGAACTGAATCAAACCTTTCACAAATATTTCAAACGCATTCTTAAAGCCATCATGAAATGTATGATATTTTTATTCTGAAATGTTCACCCTATTCTTGAAAAACTACAAATATGAAAAAAAGTGTTTTTAATCAAATTTAAATACAGATTATCTATTTTTATTTTCTCATATTTAGGTTTTCTTTTTCAATCAACAGACATGTTTTCCCTCCTAGTTTAGTTCACCAGATTTCATTATTCCTTTTAGACTGTGTTGCAAGCATTATTATCAACATGTCTTCCATTCTAAATGCAAATCGACATACCTTACGTTTAAGATGAATTCTTTGTTTACACTTGTACTTCTGTATTCTAATTTTGCCACCTTAATTAATCTGAAATTACTGACTTAGGAGTTGATTTGAATCTTTTTCTTGTCAGATAAGCAATTTGGTGAACATGAGTAGGTTAATAAATATGTAAAATGCAAACATAACCAATTTTAAAAATCAAAATTATATTTTTTATAAATGGATAGCAAAACTGAAAATTGTGTAGCTAAGCAACACATGTTTAAGTAAAGATCATAATATTCTATGGACTTCATACAGAAATTGCCATGAACATTTTATGCACTTTAGCAGTTTCTTTTTTAAATGATGAGACACTTCTTTTGGAAGTTAACCTTCAAGAAACTGCATTGAATATAGCTAAATGAGAATGTATTGTAACTTATCATAAATAGCATTACTTCATAAGACAACATACTGCTGATATAGTTTGGATATTTTTCCCCTCCAAATCTCATGTTGAAATTTGGTCCCCCTAGCCTGGGCAACAAAGTGAGACTCTGACTCCACAAAAAAAAAAAAATACAAAAAATTAGCCAGGCATGGTGGCACAAGCCTGTAGTCCCAGCTACTCTGGAGGCTGAGCTGAGAGGATCACTTGAGCCCCTGGAGGTCAAGGCTGCAGTGATCTCTGATTTCACCATTGCATTCCAGCCTGGGTGACAGAAGAAGACTCTGTCTCAAACAAACAAACAAAAAAAGAAATTAAAGATTTTCCTAAATGTAAAATTGATAATGCTCATTGTAGAAAGTTTGCAAAACAAAAGAATTTTTTTAATTAAAAGTAGGCTACAATCACAGCACTCACAGGTGATCACTGTTAACTTTCTGATGTGTTTTCTTTCAGATATATAGTCAGTTATTTAAGTTAATACATTTGGAATGTTGTAAAGAAAAAAAGAAAAAGAAATTTGGTCCTCAATCTTGGAGGTGGAGCCTAAAGGGAGGTATTTTGGCCATGGAGGGAGAGCCCTAATGAATGGCTTGGTGTCATCCTCATGATAAGGAGTGAGTTCTTACTCTATTAGTTCACGATGGAACTGGTTGTTTAAAAAACCTGGCACCTCTTGCCTCTTTCTCCTCCCTCCTCTCTTGCCGTGTGATAGCTGCTCCCGTTCCCCTTCTGCCATGAGTGGATGCTTCCTGAAGCCCTCACCAGAAGCAGACGCTGGTGCTGTGATTCTTGAAAAGCCTGCAGAACCCTTAGCCAAATAAACGTATTTTCTTTATAAATTACCCAACCTTGGATATTTCTTTATAGTAATGCAAACAAAGGCAGCTGCCCAGAAATGTCATTTCTGAAAAATAAAAATTGGCCTTATCAAATATTTAAGAAATAATATGTCTTTTCAGCAATGAAATTCTTTTAAGCTTCACGGTTTTGTAATACTAAATGTGGGATAAGATAAATGCATTAAGATAAAGGCAAATGCATTTATCTTAATAATATTTAAATAGGGAAATAATTTCATAAACCTATAATTACTTGATAAATATATGGATTATTATCATTAAATATAATTTTGCAGGGAACCAAAATAATCTAAGTAAAATATAACCCTTATATCCTCTCGCTTACATTCTAACAAGAGCTAAATTTTCAGTGGGATGGCATAGTTCAGGGATGGCATAGAACAAAGAGTGGAGATCAACTACATAGGAAAGAAGTAGACTAGGTAAGTTTCTTGCAGAGAGGAATAAGAATTGGAGGCAGCCAGACAGCATCAGGGAGCTCCAGGTTGAGAAACAGGTAGATATTTTATTTAAGTGAGTATTGCATAGAGAAGGAGGCCTGCTGAAAGACAGTGTTCCCTTAATGAAATGCCAGAAGGGCAAAAGAGATCCAGGCACCAGGATTATCTTTAAGAGTGACAGCATGACTGAACCCTGAAAAAGAAACTCAGTAGGAAGAAAGGATCTACAATGGAGCATGAGGATCAATAGTTTCTTATTGCCAGCCGTGTGCTAAACATTGGCCTAAGTATTTTGAAAAAGTCATTGCAGTTAGTTAAAAATGCAAGGATTTATGTTTTTGTAGTATTTAAAACTAAAAAATAATAATTAAAGCTCACACAGAAAAATGATAGTGTGAATATATTCTATCTTTTTCTTGTTTCCCCTCTGTTCACCGCCAGCAGGTGGGACCAAGCTGTCACTGCAGCAACCCAGAGCTCTCCAGGACTGAGGCTGTGGGCTCCTTGGATGTCTCTCAGCAGAGCCTCTTTCTTCCTTCCATTTTCCTTCAATTTTTCCTGACTTGTAAATAAACAACGGAGGGGCTGTGGAGTGCATGCCACTTCCTAGTTGCAATTCCTCCTTTAACTTGTGCACCTTATTACTGGCCACCAGCAGAGCCTCTGCTGTCAGGGTAGCTGCCCACAAAAGGAGCCAGTCTGTCTCCACCACTAAGAACCCGGCTTCCTTGCTGATCATTTGCAATTTTATACCCTCTGTCAGGCTACACAAGCCTGCTGGATTCTGGAGCTTTTGGGGTATCTCAGCACTCCGGGGCAGTCTGCAAGCAACAAGCAAGGGGGCAGCAGAGCCCCACGTAGACTCCTGAGGCCATCGCTGGATCTCCCTGCCAGTTTCATTTTCCCAGCCCATTTCCTTGGAATCCTGCTGCCCACGCGATTGCTTCATCCCATAGACTGTGCAGCAGGAGTGCACAAAACTGAAACTCAGAGGCAGAGAAATTATCACAAGGGAGTGTCCCAAACAGAACTGAGATGGGGAGGTTGGGATTCCAAAGAAAGAAGCACTAAATGCCAGGGTGATCAGTCCAAACAAAGCATTTATTAAGAGCACTTATGTGGAGAGTGGCTGCAGCAATGCTCCTGACAGACGGGGGGAAAAAGGATGTTCTCCCTAGGTATGTCCACAGTAAGGGGGTCACAGTATGGAGTTTACATGAGGGCTTAAGGAATTTGGCTCAGGGATGGGGCCAGTTTCTCTCTACTAAGCCTAGATTTCTTTGTTAGTGCTTGAAGATGTTCAAGACTGCTGAAAAAACCTGCAGCTGGCTGGGTCACAGAGTGGTTATGACACTGTGATTCTTTGTCAGGACACAGAAAGAAAGTGGAGGGATCTGGGAGGACTTATATCTTCATAACCATTCTTCTCTTAAATTAAGGCATGAGATTTATTGCCAGAGACAGTAGAGGGTCTCTGTATCAGGGCATTATATACTCTATGACAGACAATTTTTATTTTTTATTTTATTTATTTATTTTTTGAGACGGAGTCTCACTCTCTTGCTCAGACTGGAGTGCAATGGCGCGATCTCAGCTCGCTGCTGCCTCTCCCTCCCAGGTTCAAGTAATTCTCGTACTTCAGCCTCCGGGGGAGCTGGGATTATAGGTGGGTGCCACCACGCCTGGCTAATTTTTGTATTTTTAGTAGAGAAGGGATTGCGCTATGTTGGCCAGACTACTCTAAACCTCCTGACCACAAGTGATCTGCCCACCTCAGCCTCCCAAAGTACTGGGATTACAGACTTGAGCCTCCAGGCCCTGCCAATGGCAGACAATTCTTTTGAGTTCTATCTACAGCAGAGCTGCTCAATAAGACTATCTACAGTTGTGTAAACTTTAATTTTAAGTATTTCTAATTTAGTCACATCTGGCTAGTGGTCACTGTATTGGAGGGCACAGCATCGTATACAGAAGGTTTTCCTGTCCGCTGTTAAAGTTTAGACACGAAATTGGTATCATGAAAAAGGTTAATACGACATTGAGGAAGCAAAAGGAAAACTTACTAATTCTGAAACTAGAGACATTTTGATGGAAGAAGAAAATAAATCTCCCTCACTAGATTTGGTCTAAAGAGGGATGTATATTACATAAATATGGGAAGCTTTGTATAGAAATCCTTTGTACCCCAAATCTAATAAGTGTACCTTTGATGTCGTCCTCAGATCATATGTGGTAGAACTATAGCAAAATAATATTAGTAGTAATATTTGGTCCCTGTGATTTCCCTCAGATATTTTAATATGGTCATTTGGAAAGCACGTATCTTGAAAGTCTCAGACAGGACTAGGCTTAACATGTGGGGTGATGTAAATTGTTAGTGGCGGCTCAACGTGCTTCACCTAGGTGAAGATTTCTGATGAGGGACACTACTGATACTTTGGGCTGGACATTATTTATTTTATGGAACTGCTCCTGTGCATAAATGTTATTTAACACCATATTTTTAGGGACTAAATTCATATGTACAAATGTATATATATGAATATACCAATGTTCTGTTCAATCCAGAAAAAAGCTAGGTAAGAAATTACCAACTTTGGCATCAAGTGCCAGCACATTGCCCAGCAACAAAGATGTACCAGAGGACACAGTCAGCTACCATCACAAGTTAATTTAGCCTACCTACATTTAGACTCTCTACTCTCATATACCAAGACACAATATTTTAGAAAGATGGAGAGAGTAGATGGAAATAATAACAAATATTTTTTTCCCTTGACAACACAGAGCATTTTCTCAATTTAAACAGAAAGAACTAAAACCTCATATTTCTACTACCCAGCAAGTAAGAGCTCATGAATAAGATAAAATTAGTTATTTTATTATCTATATAATCTAGATCAGATGCCAGCAAACTATAGCTTGAGTGTCATATCTGGCCCACTGCCTATTTGTGTAAATAAAGTTTTATTGAAACACAACCCAAATCATTTGTTCATATATTATGTATAGCTGCATTTGTGCTATAAAAGCAGAGTTAAGCAGTTGAAAAAGGGACTGTAGAGCCCACAAAAATCTAAAATATTTATCATCTGGCCTTTTGCAGAAAAATTAAATTATACTGCATTACAACTAGCCCACAAATATCAGTAGCTTAATGCAATACCACTCTACATCTTGCTAATGCTTCATGTCTAGTACAGATTGATGGGATTTATGTTCCAAACCACTGATCAAAAATCTAAGCTGATGGAGCTCAAGCCTCACGGTATATAACCCATGATCATCTTGAATGACACAATAGAGAAAGAAAGAGCTGGAGGGTTGCATAATGAGTCTTCAATATTTCTGGTTGGAAATGACATAATGCACTTTCATTCACAATCCATTCCCCAGAACTAAACACAGAATCTGCCTAACTATAAAGGGAATAGGAAACGTTGACGAGCTTATGAATATTCAGAGAATAGTAAATGGCTCTGTAAAAGTTATAAAAAAAAAATCGAAGCTATATTTTTCTACTCCTCTATTTGATATGGAATAAATTTCAGTCCTGACTGCATGTCATATTCTGAGATATTTTTCAACTTTATTGTATTAGATTTTTATATCTTTTTTAATTGGAAGGTTATTTGTTTTATATATTTTATATAAATCATATATACCTTATATAAGATACACTACATATTTATTTATGAACTAGATATGTAGATATATAATAGATATTTGTATATATGTGAATGTATAAAAAATTTTTTTGAGACAGGGTCTTATTTTTTCACCTCAGTTAGAGTCGAGTAGCAATCATGGCTCACTGAAGGCAAGACCTTCTAGCCTCAAACTATCCTCCGGCCTCAGCCTGCTGAGTAGCTGGAACTATAGGTATGTGCCAGCATACCCAGCAAATTTTTATTTTATTTTATTTTACTTTTTGTAGAAACAGGGATGCAGATATACTACTTTCTTGACTTTTGTGTTCTTAAAACACTTTTTACTTTGTTAGTTATTTCTATGAATAACATCTTCTGAGTCAGAGATGGCTTTTCTAGGTTTCCAGGATTATTTCAATATTGCCTGTCTTTTCATGCAAATTTCAATTAAAAAAAAAAGTCAGATCTCAAACTCGCATTCTAATCTGGATGCCCCAATGTCTTTGTGCAGACCTAGCTTTGCTGGAATCATTTATTAACATTTGGTAAAACAGCTGGTTTTGAAACCATCTTCTTCCTTGTCTAGAGCTTCCCAAGTTCTTTTGATTTTCCTCTTCTCTCTCCATTCCTTCATAGACATTATCTTATTATGTCTTAAGGTAATTGGTCACTTCCTTTCCAACTACTGTGAACCCTAAATATCTGAGAGAGGTCTCAGTTAAGTTAGAAAGTTTATTTTGCCAAGGTTGAGGATGTGTGCCCATGACACAGCCTCAGGAGGTCCTCATGAAATGTGCCTAAAGTGATCAGAGCACAGCTTGGTTTTACACATTTTAGGGAGAGAAGAGACATCAATCAACATATATAAGATGAACATTGGTTCCGTCCAGAAAGGCGGGACAACTTAAAGCAAAGATGGGACAACTTGAAGTAGGGAGGAGGCTTTCAGGTCATAGATAAGATTTGTCAGATAAGAGACAAATGGTTGCATTCTTTTGAGTTTCTGATTAGACTCTCCGAAGGAGGCAACTAGATATGCATTTACCTTAGTGATAAAAGAAGGAGGCAACTAGATATGCATTTATCTTAGTGATAAAAGGGGTGACTTTGAATAGAATGGGAGGCAGATTTGTCCTGAGCAATTCCCAGCTTGACTTTTCCCTTTAACTTAGTGATTTGGGGGCCCCAAGATTTATTTTCCTTTCACAGTTTCCCCCTTTACTTTTTAAAAATTTTTTGGAGAAAGCATTTTAGAAGAGAATGAGTCTCTTGTCTCAGGTTTCATCTGATCTCTAATTGCTAGGACAGTTAATTCATAGATAAGTGGGTCCTGATTTATTAGGAAAGGTCATTTTTAGCAGGTTATGAAATCTCATGTCTTATGAAGAGAAAATAGGAGGAAGAAGGGAGGGAAACAACAACAACCAAAAGAACATTCCTGGAAAATCAATATAGGCCACATTACTCTGAAGTCCATAAATCATTAGGCTTCAGGTATGAAAGTGGCTTGTGTATGTAAATAGGTTGCTGTTACTTTCTTCTGAAGTCTAACTTTTCTAGCTTCAGTTCACAGGGCTTTACAAAAGCACAGCCTAGCTTTCAGTGACTCCAAATTAGCAAAAATGTGAGAAAAAAGAAGAAAAATAATAAAAACATTGTTTTGAAGATTTGTAGCCAAGAAAAATTAGAATTCGGGCCAAACTGTAGAAAATAATAAAAATTGAAAAACATTAGGGAAGACAAGACTCTAACAACAGGTGTACTATAGGTATTTGGAACATAATTTTTCTGTCTCCAGTTTCCCATTTTCCCTGAAGACAAATCATGCTAGGACTGACCTGCTTTATTATACTTGGCTTCATTATTTATATACATGTATCAAGAATAATTATTTATTTACATAGGCTTTTAAATTGACTTTGATGGAACTTGGTTTTATAGAAGGAATCTCAGGTAAGGCTTTCTTAAAGCCAAGCCTAATCATAGATTTATACTATTAAATACCTACAAGTTGGATGAGACTTGGGGCTCCTGGGCCTGTCAGAAAGTGACATTTTTACTTACCACAGGTCAGGAACCCTTTACTGGGACTGTATAGACAAGGGATGAGTCCAGCTTTCCAAAGAGGCTTTTATTGGCACAAGTCAAGATTGATACCATAAAGGAAAGCACACCATTCCAAAGCCTTGGTAAGATAACCAGTTTTTCCAATTGTGTACTGTGGCAAATAAAAACAAATTCTATACTGTGGCAAATAACATAAGTTATTTGCACTTATGCTAATAACTGTATTGCCATAAATTAAGAATAGTCACCAATAGTTTCCAAATTCTGGAGAAATTAGGTAGACAGAAACGAATATGTTCTACATTTTGTTCATAGGAGTATACTAAATTTGTAAAAGCTGTTAATAGCTCCAAAGAAAAGTTCCCTTGACTTTGAAAAAACAAAACAAGGGATCAGCAACATTGTAAGCAGAATGTCATAAAGATTTCTTCAGTCATCTATTAGTTCAGTCATATAGCTAATTCCTGTTCTGCTTGATACTCATGAAAATTTGAGCTCTCCATGAGTCCTGAAAGTTGTTCTCCTATTCTGATGTCACAGCCTCCAAAGTTATCAGAAACTTGTATTTAAGAGCACCTGTTAGAGTTTTATAGCTGATTATAAATCCTCTAAAGAGGAACAAAACAGTGATTGTCAGTGGTTGACAGTGATTGTCAGTGGGTGACAAAAAGTTTTAGGGCAGCTGTAGTCAAAGACACAACTGGCAAATAAATTTGTTACCTCTGTGGCAAACAACAATTTAATATAAGAATTGTAATTATTACTGACAATGTACACTAAGTCATATCAGAATTACAGGAGTCTCCCATAATTTTAAAACACATACCCAATAACATATTTATATAAACAGCCCAAAGACAACCAAACATCATATTATATTTGGCAATGTTTCTTATATAACTTTTATATCAAATAAGCCAAATTGTGTCATTTTTTAACTTTAGGGAACCTAGTATCTAAAAGGATTAATTAGGAAAGAAAAAGACATAATTTATAATTTCATTTGGAAAGTTTGTCAAATATCAAAAGTTAAAAACACCTGATATCACAGGTCATTATAAAACAAGTCATTCATTTGACCAAAGTGATAACTCAAGAATTAATTAAAAAGGTCAAATCCTTCATTCTTTGAGAGAGGAGACTTAATTTTCCAAAAAATAAGCACTTATAAAACAGCATGAAATTAATTAATTTTATTTTTCAAAATTTTATAATCTATAAAATATTAATTTTGACCATAAGATATAACTTCCATAAGCCTTTTATAACCTTTAATATCTTTATTTTTTATCAATTTTTTTTTTAGACCAAGCCTCGCTCTGTTGCCCAGGCTGGAATGCAGTGGTGTGATCTCAGCTCACTGTAACTTCCACCTTCCAGGTTTCAGTGATTCTCCTGCCTCAGCCTCCCGAGTAGCTGGGACTACAGGTGCCTGCCACCATGCCTGGCTAATTTTTGTGTTTTTAGTAGAAACAGTTTTTCACCATGTTTGCCAGGCTGGTCTTGAACTCCCAACCTCAGGTAATCTGCCAGCCTCTGCCTCCCAAAGTACTGGAGTTACAGGCATGAGCCACTGTGCCTGGCCCTTTAATACCTTTATTAAGGAGTTGGTTAATGCTTCAAAAAAAATCTTGTTAATCTGACAGTGGGGTCCATATGCTGGCCTTGCATGAGTGTCCTGTTGACTTTAATGATGAATTTATAGATAAACTGAACTTCTTTTATCTTTTAAAATTGGCCCTTACAGTCTCACATGCCCACCTCTTCCATGATAGTCCCTGGGCCTCGAGTGGTTGCATAGCTTTAATTCCTGGCCCTGTGTCTTAGGAATGCAGTTTATTTTTATTGGGGTCTCCTACCGGGTCTGAAGATAAGGCTTTAATTGCTATCAGTGTTTAAGATTTATTAGGACTTGGCATCCTTTTTCCACCCAGGAGTTAAAGCCCTGTAACTCAAAGTCACAGGGAATTAAAAGCACATACAGAAAGATACATGAATGTAATAACCTTAATATTTTTAAAAAATTTTAATCTCAGTTTTTTTCCTAAGCAAACTAAAACTTAATAATAATGGCATGGAAATTGTTTCAATAAACCATAAAATCCATTAGACCGGTTACCAAAGCCGAAAGAAAAGACCTTCTTCATTGCACAATATATTAGGTTGGAAGAAAACATTTCCTTTAGACCTTTAAGAAAACATTGTTAGCATTAAGCCACAACATACAGAACTCGAGGAAAAATCTTACATGAGCTAACAATAAGTTGAAGGAGAGCATTACTATTTTGAGCTGTTTAAAAGGGGAGAGAAAACCAAAACCAGTGAGAAGCAATAAAAGTTGAACTTTGGGTTAAAAAAGTTGAAAATATCTTATAAATTATTAAAAGTAAATCAATCCCTTTAAAAAGTCATTGTTCTAACCAATTATTTAGTGTATACACATATATATTTTTTACATCAAGCCCAATCTTTAGAAAGACCATTATAATTTTCCTTTAATAATAGACAACTTGATCATATAAAAGGGTTTTTTTGTTGTTGTTTTTTTTTGTTTTTGTTTTTGTTTTTTTTTTTTGTCTAAATCCTCTTACTGTGACTTACACTGACCATTCATGATATGCTTCAACTTTCTGGTTTGTCCTGAACATCCCTCTTTCTTAAATAACCAGTCATTTTATTCTAGGACTAAATTTACCACACAAGCTTCTTCTTTTATATAAAATTATTTGTCTTTAAACTTTCTTAACAAAAAATTAGCCCCTCTTTATTCTTATAATTTTCTTTACATATCTCTTATTTCTTGATTCCTTTTACCTTGTTTAATACATAACCTTTAAATGTGTTTTGAATTAGAACAAAATTGTTCACCTTTTTAAAAAGGACACATTTATTTTTAGAATGAATGTCTTTCTACAAATAGACTTTTATTAGAAAATACCCAAATAATGAAATATCTTTTGTTCAACTTAATATATCTTATGATTCTAAATTATGATAAGTTTGACTACAAGTATTTATCCCATTATATTTACCCAATTCTTTTATTTTAATCATTTACCTAGATTATTTATGAAAATTGCAGTAGTCATCATTTAAAGTTATGGCAACACCATTGCAAAATTATAACTGAGACAGTTAAAAATATCTGGTCTAACTGACTCCATGTTGCTTTTAACCTCCAAGATGTTCTTGTTCTTCCCTAGGTGTAGGCAGAACTAACTTTGGGAGGAACTTAGCTTATAGTTTAGCTTTGAAAACAATATGATAACCTTCCTTTTCCAAAACAAACCTTACTGCTTGTAGACTAGACTGCCTAAAGGGACAAGATTAAAAGTTATGGTAATTTTACAAAATTCAAGCAGTAGCTATTCTCATTAAACCAATATCAATGTCTTATTTATTAAAAAATTACAGAAGCAAAGATTATTCGTTTGGGGTTGGTTTATAGTTTTGTAACCCTTATGCCGAATTTTAACACCTTATAGCATTTTATAGGGATAAGTATGAAATTGCCTGATTGATAAATGCAAACAAAAATGTATTCTGGCAATTCTTAAGACATTTTTAATATTATTGTACTTTACCAATAGTTTTAAAGCTAGCTTACTTGTTAAATATTTTACTTGTTAGGTAAACTTGAAAAAGCATTTGACTAGTCTTTTCTTTTTTCCTGATAAACTATTTGATTCTAGCACTTTTGTTTTCTTAAGCCAATTAATTAGAGCTCTTTTATATATTTTAAGTAGTGAAACATTGTGTACACAACACATAAATAAATAGACACATTAGGCATGCAGATAAAAGTAAATCTTAAAGATTTGCTTTCCATTTTAAACTTTCAGAATTCATGATAACCTGTTTAAATAGGTAACCTGTATCAATTCTTGATAACCCTAGGCAGTTGTCAGCTAAATAGTTTTAAGTTTGCATATTAAAAGAAATAACTCAGGTGAAAGTAAGATAGCAAAATTTACATCACAAATTATAGAGAGAAAAACTTTGGTATGCTAGAGGGAAATTAAAATGGATTTAATTGCCAATTAAACATGAAATTATAAAGTCTTTCTAAATATAAACACATACACACACACACACACACACACACACACACACACACACACACACACACACACAGAGAGATCCTACAGCTTTTACTTCAGAACTTTAGCCACGAGATAAATAAAAATTTACTGACAGAAAACTTGTTGGATCCAAAATGTGGTTTTTAACTTAATAGAAAAATAACGCCAAATTTAAAGCAGGCAGAAAAGAAAATAGAGAAAAAAAGAGAACTTACGAACTGTAGAGTTTGCAGGTTGAACTTAGGCCTCTTTTTCCGTATTGTAAATGTGCACCAAGACCATATTACTTCCATTTTACATAAACTCTGGAAGTAGAGGTGTCATAAAACCTACAGAGTGCTTGAAAGGGGGTCATTCTCCATGTTTTCTCCTCATTCTTAGATTATTTGTTTCCCACATTTTTATTTCTTAAAGGGAGGAACTGAGCATGGCCTAGGGTTTTTGTGTGGTGGATCAGTGTTTGCTGCTTGTGGGCAGGACTCCACAGTGTGTTACCACTGAGTTGTTTCTACCCTCTTATGTGTAGAGGGTAGTTTCTCTCTCCAGCTTCTCTCTCCAGAGGTCTGTGCTCTGAGAGGGTTGGAAACACCAGGTGATCATCCCTTATATATGTTTCCTGAAGGAGCCTTTTTTAAAAAAATTAATTTTTATTGGGGATTTCCCTGCGGGGCCACTGCACATCATGGGGGGTCAACCCTCCCGAGACACTCCCATGAGTCCCCTGGTCACCCAGGGGTGCCTATTGTCTGGGAGGAGCAAAATGCTCTTTCTCTTTGGAGCTGAGAAAACTCAGTCTCTCATTTACCTATGAAAACAACAGTTCAGTTCCTCATGCAAATGCACACAGACAAGCCAAGTCAAGATTAATTTTACAAGAAAAAGCAAATAGGGAAGACCCTTTAGAATGCATCTCATAACTAGAATTAGGATCCTTAAACAACGACTTCCTAGGAGGGGGAAAAACAGCCAAGACCACTTTCTGTAAACTGTGCTCAGCCACCCACTACTTTATAGCTCTCATCTGCCATTACACACACCAAGGTCAAATCCTCTCACAGTACAAGGTCATCTGTGAATACCCCCAAAGCCAAAGAAGTCAGGTAATGCAATACAGGAAAATAGAGCTTTAGACCTAAAAAGAATCTGCCCAGGACACTTGAAACTCCACAAAGAAAACAGAACACCCCAAAAGGGGTGAGTGGTGCCTTTGTTTTGAATTATTTAAAGGGGTTGAAGTCATCAGAAACCTTCTCTAGACTTTTGGTACTACAGATGGCAAAAGAGGGAAGGAGGTATAAGGTGGAAGAAAAGTAAACAAAAGAACATATGTATTTTTTTTTTTCTGAGACGAGAGACAAACCCAGAAACCAACCACATGGTTTTGGGGTTTTGTTTTGTCTTTTTTTTTTCTTCCTCTTTTGCAGCTGCAAGAAATTATAACCAAAATAGAGAAGCTTTGTTACCCATACTTTGGAATTGTCACTCAGATTTGACAAAGTCAGGTAGAATTGGTTAAATCTGATGGGAGAAAGACCAGAACAAACAACAACAAAAGAAACCAACAATATGATTACTGAGCACTCTAATGGTAAGGAGAAATTTAGACCAGCTGGTTGTTAAAAAGTTACCCAAGACAAAACCCATTCAGCTACTTACCTAGTGATGGGTCTCAGGCTGAAAACTGCTTCCTACCATCCTAAAAGCAGAAAAAAGAACTCGAAGTCATCTTCCCTGCTGGGAGCGAGCTCAAACTCCATAAAGGAGTTACCTGCCTTTCATTGTCATGGAAACAGGAAATCTTGCCTTTCTTATTGGAAGCAAATAAAACTCCCCCCACCCCCACTCAAAAAAAGGCAAAATAAACTTTAAATCTCAACCAAATTTTGGGAGATCAGGGATTCTCTGGAGGGGGTGCTTCCAGGCTTTAGCAAATTATCCTATTGGTTTGAGCCATAAAGTTAGCTTATGCTGGTACCAAGCACTGATAGGAGATTCGTCAAAGGTCAGGGGTACCTCCACTCAGAATCCCTTCGTGGTTACCAAAATGTGAACCCAAAAATCTGAGAGAGGTCTCAGTTAACTTAGAAAGTTTATTTTGCCAAGGTTGAGGATTGAGTACCCATGACGCAGCCTCAGGAAGTCCTGACAACGTGTGCCCAAGGTGATCAGAGCACAGCTTGGTTTTATACATTTTAGGGAGACATGAGGCATCAATCAACATATGTAAGATGAACATTGGTTTAATCTGGAAAGGTGGGGCAACTTGAAGTGGGGAAGGGGCTTCCAGGTCATAGATAATTAAGAGACAAAGGGTTGCATTTCTTTGAGTTTCTGATTAGCCTCTGCAAAGGAGGCAATCAGATATGCATTTATCTCAGTGAGCAGAAGGGTGACTTGGAATAGAATGGAAAGCAGGTTTGCCCTGAGCAACTCCCAGCTAGGCTTTTTCCTTTAGCTTAGTGATTTGGGGGCCCCAACATTCAATGTGATTATTATCCATTCAATGTACCAAAACTCTAATTTGCAATCCACCTTTGCGTAATATTTCTATCAAAGCCCTCATGCTCCATTTCACAACAAAATTTGTTGATACTATTTTTTAAATATCTCTGAAATATACATTCTCTCCTTTATCATCACTGAATCATGTTTTAGTTTAGATAATCAGTGTTTTCTTCCTCTGTTACCACAACTGCTTCCTAGGTGACTTTCTAGCATTTAGTCTGGTAATGCTACAAACCATTTTTAAAATCCTACTTGTCAGAATTGTTTCTAAAACTGTTTTCAAAGCTTCAAAGTCATTCTGGAGTTTACTAATGACTTAAAGAGAAAATGAAGCACATTGACATGACCAGTGTAACTCCCTTTTTATTGCCTGCTCCTCTGCTCCTTACATGAATGGTTATGCTCTCATGCTCTATGCTGTTCTCTCTGGCCTAAATATGCTGATAATCTGTTCTACCTACCTAATGCCTATTTGTCACACAAGGCTGATCTTGGATGACACTTCTTTTGTTAAATATTTCTGACTAATTTCCATAAGAGTCATTATATGTATCTATTAAAGCATGCATTATACTACATTTCAAGTAGTTATTTTGTAAATGTTTTCTATAACAAAACTATCAATTCTTTAGGGTATTAATTTTGTTGGGTCCCTAATGTCAGGCACAGTGTCTGACACAGAGATATTCTACAATTTATTTAATAAAAAAGATAATAATTGAGTTTATATAAGGAAGGAGTGACAACATAAGTTTTCCATAAAGTAATTTTTGATAGACATATGATGAATGTAGGAATTAAGGAAAAATCAGAAAATGAAAATATTTGTTGAAACTAAATCTCTTCTAAGTTGCAATTCTACACATAGCTCCTCTGCATGGGTAACTTAAATACATAAGTATGATTTGTTTTGTATCTAAAATGTAGTTTTTCTAATTTGCATATTATTATTATATAGTTCATATGTTTTAATAGTTTGTGATACAAATCTAATATTTAGTAGTCATAATGCTAATCAAATATAATCATGTCAGTAATTTAAAATTGGTGGTTAGATATTACTACTTAATAGATTTTCTTACCTGCAGTTTCCTAAAAATATGCTGATAATTTGTAGTGCTTGGAAAGAGCTCTACAGATCTTTAACAGGGAGCCAGATGGCCTTTTACCATGACCTTTGCCCAATACTATTAGCATCCAAGGGAGCTGAGAAGCTCTGGCTCATTATCCACAACCAGATGTTTTCTTCTTCTTTATCACTGTTGCTAAGTGGCAGTTAATGTCTGGCACATTGGGTATTTGCTTGAACCTATGAACCATAAAATTCTGCTCTTAAAATACAAATACCACCCACTAGCAGAAACTTCTCCCTTTGCATTTTAATCCAATCATTCTCTCTTAGAAAGCCCGCTATAGTCTTGTAGACACTTTATTTAATTATCTTCTATCTTTCTCAGCTGACAGTGAATTTGCCTTTGCAAAAATTATAACTGAGATTATTATTACAGCGAGAGAGATCTGACATAACCAACTCCATCTTGCTTCTAACCTCCAAGCTGTCCTTTTTTATTCCTGGGCATAGGCCTTACTAACTTCGGGAGACACTTAGTTTATAGTTTAACCTTGAAACAAAGACAATAACAGCCCTTTCCCCAAACAAACCCCCTTCTTGCCTGGGGACTAGACTGCCTTTGCAGGACTAACAAATTGGCCACAGGATTAGAAATCATGGGTTAGGAGTCATGAAGCTGGAGGCTGCAAGAGTCTGACCCTCCCCAAATAACTCCTAGGGATAATATCACTATTGTAAAATCTACGGATCAGCTGACACCACCCAAATCGATAAATTGGTTCATCTGGTCTTATGGTCCCCGCTACCCAAGAACTGACTCAGCAAAAGGGGACAGCTTCGACTCCCTATGATTTCATCTCCTACCTGACCAATCAGAACTTTCAATTCACTGATCCCCCACCCACCAAATTATCCTTAAAACTCCAATTCCTGAATTTTCTGGGAGACTAATTTAAGTAATAATAAAACTCCAGTCTCCTGCACAGCCACCTCTGTGTGAATTACTCTTTCTTTATTGCAGTTACACTGTCTTGATAAATTAGCTCTGTCTGGGCAGTGGACAAGGTGAACCCATTGGGCAGTTACATCAGTAAGTAAGGACAGTCTCGCCTAAGAAAGAAGAACATTATACATTTGAATAATCAGAAATTACTGCTGAATATTTATTGGTTGTTTCATATAAATTATCACTTATCATGATTTAGTAACCCTATAAACACTAAACAAACTTCTAATAACTCTATCAGTTCCCAAAGAGCCTGATACTAAGAAAAGGAGTGAGGACTATTTCAGTAACTAGAATGCTCTATGTCTGATGGGTTAAACAATCAGTTTTCTCTGAGTTTAGCTAATGAAAGTTTGTCTTTCGGAGTCTGTTCTACTCTAGGTGAACTAATATAACTGAAATTACAGATAGACTTAAATTATAGGAAACAAAATACCCTAATCTAATTAGGATGTTGAAAGTGGTGTGAATTTATCTTACTTTGTGCCAATCCATTGTGGGAGATTAAAATATGTCACCTCAAAGTGTGTTTCTTTGGTATATTTTGAGATGGCTATCGGGAGGGGTTGTAGACACAGGAATAGCTCTGAGAAACTGTCCTTTTGTGGGAGAGATTTGCATGCACAAAGGAATGCATTTTCATTAGTAAATAGCCAATGTAAACAGGTTTTCTCTAAGGCTCCCTTATTCGCATTATCTGGATTTAGAAAAGATCGTGTTAACACCCTTGTTCAGAGATTGCCACAGGATGTCACATATTCTTCTGAGAGCTATTACCTGAGAGTCTTATTATCTGCTTAATAAGAGGACAATGTTTATTTGTAGTAAATTTCCTCTCCTTACCCTCCAATGGTTTGTCACCATCATCTTCCATGAACTCCTAGCCCCTATACTTTTCTGTATGGTACAGAAATTTCTGTCATCTCTCCCATTTACAAGTCTCATATTTTATGTGGCTTCCATATATATGTGCACATACTACACTTCTATGCCTTTTCTCTTGTTAATCTGTCTATTGTCAGTTTGTTTTATAGACTCAAATTATTGAGCCTTCAAAGCGAGAGAAGAAAATTTCCTCTTCCTGTACACCACAACTGCTTCCTAGATGAGTTTCTAGTATTTAGTCTGATAATGCTACAAACCATTTTTAAAACCCTACTTGTCAGAATTGTGCTTCTAAAACTGTTTTCAAAGCTTCAAAGTCATTCTGGAGTTTATTAATGACTTAAAGAGAAAATGAAGCACAATGACATGATCAATAAGGATATAACCCCCTTTTTATTGCCTGCTCCTCCTCTCCTTACATGAATGGTTATGCTCTCATGCCCTATGCTGTTCTCTCTGGCCTAAATATGCTCATAATCTGTTCTACCTACCTAATGCCTATTTGTCACACAAGACTGATCTCGGGTGACATTTATTTTGTTAAATATTTTTGACTAATTTCCGTAAGAGTCATTATAGGTATCTATTAAAGCATGCATTAAACTACATTTCAAATAGTATTTTGTAAATGTTTTCTACAACAAAACTATCAATTCTTTAGGGTGTTAGTTTTTTGATGACTTGTGACTTTGTCCCTGCTTCTCCCCAGCTCCTCAGTAAGTTCAACGTTCTCTTCTTGCAACACTGAAAGCTGCTGGGACTTCTGAGCAGCTGCCTGCTTTAGAGTTTCTCTGTAAGGTATAAAATATTTTTGTTGTTTTTGTGAGTTATCCAGGGTTTTCTTTTAATTGTGAAGTCCTTTCACAGTATCTACTCATCCAGGGGTCCTCAACTCTGGGCCATGGACCAGTCCTGTTAGGAACCGTGTTGCACAGCAGGAGGTGAGTCGGGGGCAAGTGAGCAAAGCGTCATCTGTATTTACAGCCACTTCTCATTGCTCACATTACCACCTGAGCTCTGCCTCCTGTCAGATCAGCAAGTGGCATTAGATTCTCATGGGAGTGCAAATCCTGTTGTGAACTGCACACGCGAGGGATCTAGATTGCACGCTCCTTCTCAGAATCTAATGCCTGATGATTTATCACGATCTCCGTAAACCCCCAGATGGGACTGTCTGATGGCAGAAAAACAAGCTAAGGGCTCCCACTGATTCTACGTTATAGTGAGTTGTATAATTATTTCATTATACATTACTATGTAATAATAATAGGAATAAAGTGCACAATAATGTAATGTGCTTGAATCATCCCATAACCACCTTCCCTACAGTCCCTGGAAAAATTGTCTTCAACAAAACCAGTCCCTGGTGCCAAAAACGTTGGGTACTGCAGCAGTCATCTATAATGCCAGAAGTGGGAAGAAGCCTGAATGTCTCTTACATTAAAAACATTACCAGAGATTTCTGTAATTTTAATTAATTGGTGAGATCTGCCACAAAGTTAGTTCTTCTTCATAAAAGTATTGGCCAGCTGGAGTATTTAATGGACCACAGACCAATGATCTATCAAATTTCATTTATAGATCCAATTAAGTATTTCTTATGTGGCAGACATTATATGACAAATAGTTTGTATTGGTAAGCATTCAAGGTCCAAAGCCTTATATGGAAAATTAAGCAAACTAGTTTTGGAGAAAAGTATTTCTTACTGATTTTATCCTTCTTCTCACTAAAGCATGGGGCTACCGTCTTCAAAAACAAGTTATTTTAATTGCAGTTGATTATCTTTTAAGACTACTACAACTGGCTGCGTGATAAGATTGTATGATTAATTTTCCCTTTGGAATTATTTGTGCTAAGAATTATAAATTTAATTTTTTACATAACTATATAGGTAGATAAAAGGCAAGTCCACAGATAGGGGTGTCAATATCTCTTATCAAGTGCATTTAATAAAAGTGCCTTTTCCTCTGAAAAGATACAGCTATAAACTGATGCTAAGGGCTTGATGAGCAAGTTTAGTTGAGGCTGGGTTTTAAACTCTATTTAATTCCTAGATTGTAAGACTTTGTGCAAAATACACTCATACAACCACATGCAGAGAAACTGCCCTTAACGTGATTGTCTCATAATTTAACCCTACTAGGAATGCTCTTTTAATAAAGCTTATCTTTGTTTTGTTTTGTTTTTTTTTTTTTTTAAAGAATGGGACTCTTCTTTAGATAAAAAATAATGTCAATATAAAAATTGCTTTTATTTTAATTCTGACTGTAGTAAAAATGTTGGTTCTCATATGGTAAAATTACGATCTTCACTAAACAAAGTTAAATATGTGTATTAAGCCAGGTCTTCTGGAATCACAGCCAGAGGCAAGATTTAAAGTGCTAATAATTTGTTTAGGAGGTGGAAGTCTTGAATGGTAACATTGAGGATTAAAAAGAAGAAAATATATTCAGCAATATGGTACTATATCTTGCCTACCTTGCCTGCCTCGTCACTACATGACAATGAGCTACCAAAAGGCATGGGATGCTATTTCTCAGATGTGTTTGCTCAGCATGTTGGCTGATCTGGAAAGTTCGGAAGGAGAAACTACACCTCACAGTATTCCATTTAGAAAAAAGAGGAGGGTAGCATATTAGCCCCTGTCCTCCATGATTTCTCTTCTGCATTAGTCAAAGTTGTAACATTGGAAGCTAGCTTTCTAGATGTTACCATCTTGCCCTTTAGAGGCTGGTCAAAAAGCCAAAGTGCATATCCTGCAGTAGAACATTTTATTGAAATCTAGAGTTGGATGAGTAATTTTTTAATTTTTATGTAAGCACACCAGGAAAGAAAGAAAAAGGAAGTGGGTGGTAAAGGGAATCTGAGAATGTACATGGGGCTAGAAAACAATGCGGAAAAATAAAGTCTTCCGAAGCAGCCTTAGAAGAAAAGTTATTCTCTGAACTTCTCCTGCCCTCCTGTATCTCAGTCCTATTTTCCCCCAATGCCAGCCATAGAAATTAGAATATCTCCTCTTCAAGGCAGGTCATAGAAACCAGAGACAATTTTGTTTAAAGCCAGTCACAAAACTTAAAAATTGTACTACCATTGTCCCTATACCTTACCTGTGTCAAAAACTGGCCATAAAGGAATTATCTGATCTATCTTGTTTGACTATATGTTAAAAGACCCCCATTCCAGAGAGGGCCATGCCCCATACCAAAAAGGAAGTAAGGCATGCACAGAGAGGCAAAGAAGAGTCTAGACAGAAGGGCCTTGCTGGGTTTCCCAACTCAGTCTATCACCATTAAATCATACCATTTTGTCCAATCACATTTCTGTATGGCTGTCCACACTTTGTTGAACCTAAGGATAAAAATGGACAATTTCCCCTCTATCTTTGGGTCTTCATGGTGAAGGTTCCTATGTACACACGTTAAATAAATTTGTATGCCTTTTCTCCTATTAATCAATCTGCCTCATGTCAGTGATGTTCAAACCTCCAGGAGACAAGGGCCTTGGTTCCTACATACAAATGTGTGTGTCCAATAAACATTCTTCCCAGTGTTTCCATAGTACTTAATTCTAATGCCTAAAAGCTACAATGGGTATCAGTTTTTAATATGCCTCTATCTCACACTAGACTTCAGGCTCCTTGAAAACCTATACTGTTTCTATTACTGGCCTTATCCATGTTTAGCATGTTGCATAATATAATAGGTAGAGAATAAACAATTATTGAATCAATGGTTGTTAAATGAGTTAGAATTCAAAGAGAGAGAGTAATTCTCACATAGGATGAAGTTTAAATAGTCAAAGAATGTAGGGATTTCATCCTAAAACATGGCTCCCTGGTATAGTGAGTATTTAGAATTAAAGGACTTAGAGGTCAACAGACACTGGAAGAGACTTTTTCCCTATCTAAATGAAGACCAGATCAGATGGACCCCCTAAAGAGAAAAATTTTTTTTCTTACCCTACCCATTATCCCATTATCTATTATAGAAAAGAAGACCAAGAAGGTAGCATATAACCACACCTGAAGAGACCCTTTTATAAGATAGAGTTTATTTCTCAGGCCCGTTCAGATTCCAGAAAGAACTATTTACAAGTTAATCTCTGTTCCCCATCTATTCATTCTCCCTAGAAATTATTTATTGCACTTCAACAGAATTCCTTTTCCTTTCCCTCCCATAACCTGTTTCGCCAGGATCCAAGCTTCTCTTCTTTCTGTAAACTCAAGACAATATATAAGCTTCTGAACCACACTGGGGGAGCAGGGAGTATGGATAATTACTCTGTGGTTCTTCCCCATGTGCATGTTAATAAATTTCTGTGCCTCTTCTCTTATCAATCTGCCTTTGTAGTTGATTTCTCAGCAAACATTCAGGGTACAAAAAGAAAGTTTTTCCCTTGGCCCCTATGGTAGCAATAGAATCTAGCCAATGTTTTTAAAAATCAAAAAAGAGTGAATATTAATTGCTCATGCCTTAGACCAGAGATTTACTGCTGGTTAGTCGCTAAAGGATTTTCCGCTCTTCAAAACATTTTCTCTTTTCCATTTTATTCAGGAAGCCAAGGGAAATAAGAAAATAAAATTATTAAGGGCCTATTTAGCACTAGTTGTGAAAATTGGGTAGGGTCCTGCAGTGAGTGTGAAAGCAAGGAAAAGATTCAGATTCTATTCAGAGTCTTAGTGAGTTGAGCTAGTCTTACTGTCCTCTAATTAGAACCATATAAATCACCTATTTATGAAAAACCAACCAACTAATAGACATTCCACACCTGCTCATGAAAACCTAGTGGATTCATGGGTGAACAACATAAAACAACAATGCAGTATTTCTGTGTTTTTAAAATACCTCTCCCATTGTTAGCAGTGGTAAATTTGTATGGGTCTGCAACAACCTCAATTCTTGCATCCTTAGAAGAAATAATTCGACCGACGGGGCATAAGGCAAAGTGAGACACTGAGGCAAGTTTTAGAGCAGAAGTGAAAGTTTATTAAAGAGTTTTAGAGAAGGAACAAAAGGAAGTAAAGTCATTTGAAAGAGGGCCAAGTGGGTGACTTGAGAGATTCAAGTGCACTATTTGACCTTTGACTTGGGGCTTTATACATTGGCATGCTTCCAGGTTTTGCATCTCTTCTCTCCTGACTTTTCCCTTGGGGTGGGCTGTTCCCATGTGCAGTGGCCTGCCAGCATTTGGGAGGGGCCGCACACTCAGTGTGTTTACAGAAGTTGTATGCATGCTCACTTGAGGTGTTTTTCCCTTACCATTTGAGTGTTCCTAGAGGAAGAACACATACCAGTTAAACTCCACCATTCTGTCTCTTGGTGTGCATGCTTGAGCCCACTTGCCTAACTCCAGAGATCTTATCATGAAGCTGCTTCTCACCAGCTTTAGATGTTTTCTATCGATTAGAAGACTGCCTTTCCCTGGTGCAGGCTGCAACCAATTATTATTTTAGAGAGATATTTTAACAACTGCCTGGCCATCATCTAATGGTCATCAAACATTCCTGGTAGTGAGGGAGCCCTCTCCTGCCCTGCTTATGTCTGACTACCTACCTGTGAATTATCAATTCAAATTTTAGGAGTCTCAGAGCCAGTGTTGTGTTGCTATGACAAATTACCTCAGACCATGTGATTTATTAAGAACAGAAATTTATTTTTTCACTGTTCTGAGGCCTGGACAGCCTACAGTCATATTCTGGAGGCTGGAACATTCAAGATCAAAGCAGGTATGGTAGTCTGGCAAGGGGTACATCATCTAGAGGAGAGGAATGCTATGTCCTCACATGTAAAATGGAAGGATGAACTAGCCAAATGTGTGAATCCTTTTATGAGGGCCTTAATCTCATTAACAAAGGAGAGACCCTCATGGCCTCATCACCTATTAAAGACCCCATCTCTTAGTACTATCACACTAGTAACACCTAATTTTGGAGGAGACACATTCAAACTGTAGCAGCAAGTGAGGGTAGACCTATCTTAGGGCATAGTTTGGGGGACGAAGAGTGAATAGAAATAAGGAGTCAGTTTTAAAAGCATTTGATTTCTAGCCAAACACAGGGTCCAGCTACCTATTGACAATTCCTCTTACATATTTAATAAATATCTCAAATTTAACCTATACCTTCAAACAAACCTAATCCTAAATTATATGATTCTCCCTATAATATGGAAGACTAATTTCAAAATCAGAGAAACCTTTTGAAATTTAACATATTTAATTGTATTAAAAATAAAACAACAGACCAGGCATCATGTCTCATACCTTTAATCCCAGTACTTTGAGTGGCTGAGGTGGGAGGATCACTTGAGGCCCAGGGTTCTAGACCACCCTGGACAATATAATGAGACTCCATCTCTATAAAAAAAAAAAAAAAGTCAAGTGTGGTGGTGTGTGTCTGCAGTCCCAGCTACTCAGGAGGCTGAGGTAGGAGGATTGCTTGAACCCAGGAGTTTGAGGCTGCAGTGAGCTATGATTGTACCACTGCACTCCAGCCTGGGCAACAGAGAGAGACTGTCTCTAAAAAATAAAACAAAACATCTTTTATTTTTTGGTCTTTCTAATTTTATGACAAGCAGGTAAAAACTTTATCATAACTCGTATCATTAACTTTGGGAATCACTAAATTAATCCATTCTTAGTATTTACTATGGAAGAGACATAACATAAGAATGTGTATGATGTGTTAAAAATAACATAGCTAGTGAGCAATAAAACCAAAATAGAAAGCTGGCTTTCTGATATTTATTATAGTATTTTCCTACAAACTTATCAATTCTAATTTCAGGTAATCTTGGTGTTCTCTTCCTGTCTTCTCTTTTAACCCTTCCCTATTTTCTTAAGTCTTCTCTACAGAGACTTTCAGGTTCTTAGCTAATGGAAATTTGCTGAGGTAATGAAGAAACAAGAGTTGAATGGTTTAGTAAAAATCCACAGTACTTGTGAGAACAGTACAAACACTATTTGTATATAAAGCAAATTCTGAGAAAATAATGTATCAATAGAAAATGAATTAAAATGAAACTCTTTCATGCATGCCGTGTGAAAATTCTGTAAAAATCAGTTCTATGACAGGTACATCTATAGTACATGGATCCAAGATTCATCATTTTGGTATTTTTCCCATGGCAATACAATTTTAGGTGTTAAATAGATCATCAGATTACCCAAGATGAAAAAGTACCTAATAACTGTTATCTCAGTGTTTACTTTGCATTTAGAAGAAGAGAAACATTGCTATTGACAGGCATCAACAGACTCTAACAATAGGTGGTTTGTATTTCTCAGTGACAGACATTTTTAATTGGAAAGAGAGATAGAGTCCAATGGAGATATGAGTGTGATGTAGATGGAAGAGATTTGTTTCCCTTCTCAGCACTAGCTCTCAAGTATATTTTTATCTTTTTCTATTCACTTTGGTCACAAATGTTCTCTCCTTCACAACTATTACATGTGGTCAAACTACTATGAACTCTTTCCTACTATATTGAATTTATCTGTTTTGTATGACTAGCGGTCATAAGAGTGCAATAGTTCTATTTATTCAAGCATCCATTTTTAATTTTCAGAGGATCAATTGATAAAACTCAGGGGAATGAAGGTCACCAATTACTGGAACATAATCTGTCCCTTTGTCTGTCTATTTGTATATCAATCTTATCAGCTCTGACATAAACATTTAAATTGCATTTACCATCCTTGCTTTAGTACATGAAGTTCACACATAAGATGATCCTTTAACATCATTTAAAGACATTAGACTTTTATACATTCACAGACTATTCTGATGGATTTAGAAAGGTTACAAAGAGATGTTAAAAGGTAATTTTTAGAAAAAGATAAAATTGTGACTTGCATACAGCATAATAAATAATACACATTAAATAATTTATTTCCTCATATAATATGAGGTAACCAGGTAGATGTTATAGCAGTACAAAAAAAATTAAAAAGCACAAATTTCCATGAAGTAAAGGAATGTTGAGGTACATTGTGAATGTGGACAAAACCAGATTTTCCACGGTGGAAGGAAGTCAATTATGATCAGTATCAGACAAGATTGAATTTACATATCTATCAGAAATAAAATTATTTAAATAACTAAAGTAGAGGTTAAACTATTTATTTAGCTGACATGCATCAGGTAGCACCTGAAGACCCAGAGATTACCCACTGAAGGGTCAGGGTTTTTATAGCAAGAGGAAAGTTAATTTATTGTCTTTGTTGTTTTGGCTTAAGCAGCAATTTTCACTTTAGCTGAAACTTACAGTTGAAAGTTGGTCCTAAATTTAGGCTCTTTGCTCGGGGCCATTGGTGCAATCCTGAAAAACATCACCACAGTATTTTTTTGGAAATTGTTTTTTGCCAGCTTGAGAGAATTATGGGCTAGTGTAAGTTTATAGGGTGAGGGAAGTAAACAGCAAAATATAAAAAGAGAAGCAATAGCAGAAGGCTAGGGGAAAACTGGGATGCTACTAGCATGTCTATTTTAGTCCTTTTACAAATCCTGTATTTGCTCAAATAATATTGATATTATTACTCCCTTTCACACAAGAAAGTTAAAGAATTTCAATAATAATTGCTTGAATACAGTCTGCTTTCACCAGTGGACACTGAACTGTTCCTAAAGAAGAAGGCCTAAAAAGAAAATAAATCTGAACATAATTTGCTTGACCTCATAGCCACCCCCCTAATAAGGACCACTGTAACAGTGAAAGCCTGACAACAGAAAAAAAGGAGCCCAATTACCTCTACTTTTTATAAAGTAGCTAGCTACAGAAAATCTTCCACTCTTAACATGGAGCAATCCTTCCTCTTTTGAAGCATCCTTGAAAAGCTCCCTTGCCTCCTTGCAGCCAACCAGGGACTGCCAAACGTAACTGAAGAAAGCTGCCTCCACTTCCAAAACTTGCATTTTAATAGAATGCTTGCCAATCAAAGACTGTCTCAATCTTTTATCTATTCACTCTATAAAATGTATTATTCTTTCCCTGCTGAGCTGTATTGGCACATGGGCTCTCTTGTCTTAATTTTATGAATAAATAGTTTTTGTTAATTTTGTCTCAGACTTAATTTTACTCTGACAGAACATTAGGAGACATTTTGTTCTCTGGCTAATATGGAAATATTTCATGAAGAGAGCCTCTTGAAATCCTCATGAATTCACCATTTTCTACCTGGTTCATTGTAAAAGACAAATGGAAAGGTATTTTGTAAGATGTTTGCTGGAATAATTTTTCTACTTCATCTCCTTCTATTCTGAAGTAATTACTTTAGCAGGAAGTCAAATAATCATGGAGTAAGTAAGGCAGAGACTGATGACAAGACAGGAAAATCAGCATCTAGTCCAAGACTGATCTATCCCACACGTTACACGGGAATAATTTTTATATCAATGAGGAGAAATTTATTGAGTTAACCTAATAATAACCAAACTAGATACCCAATACCCAAACTAAAAATTTCAAGGTCTGTTGTTGGAATCTGGAAGTACTATTGTGGCATTCAATGAGAAAAAATTACAATCTGTTTAGTACACTATTTTTAAATTTATTTTTTATTTCAATAGGTTTTGGGGGAAGAAGAGGTGTTTGGTTAGATGAATAAGTTATTCAGTAGTGATTTCTGAGATTTTGGTGCAATCATCACCCAAGCAGTATACACTGTACCCAATGTGTAGTCTTGTATGCTTCATCCCCCTCCCACCTGTTTAGTATACTTTTATAGGAAACAAAGAGATAATGAGTAATACAATGCATATTTTTTAAAACCCAAATTTAGTAGTCAGAAGAATTGACAATTATTTAGACAAAAGTTTTAATTTTAAAATTAGAATATAATGGCTTGATTGAACAATTCACATTTTATAAATCAAGTTCAACCATGTGTAAGAAAATATATTTTTTAGACCATTATAATTTATGTTTACATACTTTTAAATGTTAAACAATATATTCCTAAATCAATAGCTTCAGTTTAAACATCGCTTATTCCCTTATTTTGTAGGCTTTTCTATGGTAAGTATTCATTTAGTTATTTTAGATCTTCATGATTCCTCTGATACAAAAGAGATTCTGAATCATTTCTATTAAAACCATGCATAAATTGTAAAAAAAGCTTCCTGTGAGGGAAGTGCAGTGGCTCTTGCCTGTAATCCTAAAACTTTGGGAGGATGAGGCCGAAGGATTCCTTTAGCCCAGGAGTTCAAGACCAACGTGAGCAACATAGCGAAAACATGTCTCTACAAAAAGTGGGGAAAAAAATTAGCCAGGCATGGTAGTGCATGCCTTTAGTCTCAGCAACTCAGGAGGCTAAGGTGGGAGAATTGCTTGAGGCCAGGAGACCTAGTCGTTAGTGAGCTTGTGCCACTGCACTCTCTGCTGCAGAGTGAGACCCTGTGTGAAAATGAAGAGAAGAAAAACTTTGAGGCCACTGAAATTGCATGATTTTTTAAAAAAAACTTATCCGTTCATGGATAGTCTAACTTCATTATTTCAAGAAAATTGTGACTATATTATGAGTTTACATTTGTATGCCAATAATGGCAAGCTAAGAAATCAGGATTAGCATAAAATAATTAAAGATAAATGTGACTGTGATGTGACAACTTAGAAGTTAAATTCAGATCTTTTAGAATAAAAGAAATAGTAGCTAATTACTGCTTTCTCCTTAACAATTCCTAAATAGTGGTGTTGGCATTAGCAAAAGTCACAGGGTGGAGGGTAAGACTGCCTACTGAATTTTATAGAGAAAAATAGTAAATTAATTACTCTTTACAAAATACTATTTTGGGATTGTTGTTTTCTCACTTCTCTGAAACAAAGGTTGGCAAAATGGTCCTTTTCAGGTGCATAGATCTGAAATTGATGACCGATTAAATTTAACTGATTAAAAATGTTAGACTATAGGACAAAGCCATTGCCTTTTTTATTTAATTAAGATTTGTGCTTCAAAATGTTACAAAAGTAAGAGAAATATGTAAAATATTTTGATTTTGGTACCAAAATAGCAGATTCGGAGTGATAGATTGTTACCATTAGGGTCTGAAAATGTATTTCTCCCCAGTAATTGTAAAAGTAAACAAAACAACTAAATCAATTTTACTATGATTTTAGAAAATTGGAGTAATTTCAGGCTCAGATACATGTATTTACTGTCCTTTAAACCTATTTACAAAAAACATTGCATTACAATTTTAGTAGAATAAAATGCATTCAAATACTATAATTTAGAACTTAAACCAATTTGAGCTAAAATTTATATTTTTAAGTTGTTGAACATCATTTATTTTAATACTAAATATTCTTTAAGTGTTTCAGTTGTAAAAAAATTATAACTACATTAACTAAACAATTCATTAAAACAAATTTTTAAAATTTATAGTTTTTTTAGTTATGACTTTATAAACAAAAGTAACAAAATCAAATTGAAGTATCTATTATTGCATATCTTCAGAAATACATTCTTGCTTTATTATTGTTATTATTATTATTATTATTATTTTGAGCCACTGTCTTGCTCTGTCACCCAGGCTGGAGTGCAGTGGCTGTCATGGCTCACTGCAGCCTCAACCTCCAGGGATCAAATGATCCTACCACCTCAGCCTCCTGTGTAGCTAGCTGTAACTACAGGCCTGTGCCACCATGCCCAACTAATACATAATTTTTTTTTTGAAGATATGGAGTCTCAGGTTGCTTTTTGCTAGCTCATACTCATTGGTGGTAAAAATTATATAGCTTCACCGCTATTAGAATTAAATAAAAAATACAAAATAAAACCTTTATGAAGTGATGTGGTTTGGCTCTGTGTCTCCATCCAAATCTCACCTTTAATTGTAGTAATCCCTATGTGTCAACGGCAGGACCAGGTGGAAGTAACTGGACCTTGGGGGCAGTTCCTCTCATGCTGTTCTCATGATAATGAGTGAGTCTCATAAGAGCTGATGGTTTTTTTGTTTTTGTTTTGTTTTGTTTTGTTTTGTTTTGTTTTGTTTTGTTTGAGAGGGAGTCTCGCTCTGTCGCCCAGGCTGGAGTGCAGTGGCGTGATCTCAGCTCACTGCAAGCTCCGCCTCCAGGGTTCACGCCATTCTCCCGCCTCAGTCTCCCCAGCAGCTGGGACTACAGGTGCCCGCCACCACGCCCGGCTAATTTTTGTATTTTTTAGTAGAGACGGGGTTTCACCGTGTTAGCCAGGATGGTCTCGATCTGCTGACGTCGTGATCTGCCCGCCTCGGCCTTCCAAAATGCTGGGATTACAGGCATGAGCCACCGTGCCTGGCAGGAGCTGATGGTTTTATAAGCATCTGGGATTTTCCCTGTTTGAACTCATTCTCTCTCTTGCCACTCTGTGAAGAGATGCCTTCCGCCATGATTGTTCCCTCGCCGCCTCCCCAGCCATGAGGAACTGTGAGTCAATTAAACCTCTTTTCTTTATAAAGTACCCAGTCTTGGGTATTTCCTTACAGCAATGTGAAAACAAACTAATACATGAAGCAAAAGTATAAAATACTTAGTGATTATTTGCTAATAAAAATGATTCAAACAATCAGTAAAGGGGACATTTGAGGTTATTTTTATTTCTAACCTGTATGTATCATATTTTATGGGTTCAGTTTACAAATCACTTTATAGATGAGTTTTTCATGATGCCCTGATTGTCTTCTATTGCCCAGAAGAAGGTATTATAAATCATGATAATATCTATACTGAATTTATAATGAACACTAATATTATATTCTATTTTTAGCTACTATTTTTAATTTGCATACAGTTGGAACTCAGAAAACAATGCCCCAAAATGAAGGCTTCAGAAGCAGCCTCAGAAACAAAAGGTTTTCTCTGATCTTCTGCCCTCCTGTGTCATATTCACATTTTCCCCTGAGGCCAGCCGCAGAAACTAGAATCCCTTTTATCCATGGTAGGTCATAGAAACCAGACCCCTTTTCCCCAGAGCCAGCCATGAAAGCTAAAAATATTAATCTAACTTTTCCTCCACCTTTCTGTGTGAAACCTGGCTGTAAAGAAATTGTCTGACCTATCTTATTTGACTGTAGGTCATAAGCTTTCCATTTCATAAGGAGTTCTGTCCCATATCCAGAATGAAGAAATGCACGCTCAGAGAGGACAAGAAGAATCTAGACAGACAAGTTTTGCTGGGTTTCCCCACTCAATCTATCTGCATTAGATCATACCCTTTTTTGTTCAATTACATTTCTACATAGCTGTTTATGGTTTGTTGAATCTAGGCATAAAAATGGACAATTTCTCCCGTATCTTTGGGCCTTTATTCTGAAAGCTACTGTGTACTCATTAATAAATGTGTATGCCTTTTCTCCTGTTAATCTGCCTCTTCTTAGTAATTTTCAGTGATACTTCAGAGAGCAACTGGAAACTTTTGCCTTGGCCTTTACAGTACTCTTTAACCAGCTATTCATTTCTTATACACACCAGTATATTTTATTTCTGTCTTTTTAACTAATATTTTAAAATTTCAACTTTTATTCTAGATACAGGGGGTACACGTGCAGATTTGTTACATGGGAATAATGGCATTTGCTGAAGGTTTGGAGTGTGGATCCTGTCATCCAGGTAGTGGGCACAGTACTTGATAGGTAGATTTTTCACCCACCCTCCCACCCTCTAGTAGTCCACAGTGCTTGTTGTTCCCATATTTATGTCCATGTTTAGCTTCCACTTATAAGTAAGAACATGCAGTGTTTGGTTTTCTGTTCCTGCATTAATTTGACAAGAGTTATGGTCTCCAGCTCCATTACTGTTGTGGCAAAGGACAGGATTTTATTATTTTTATGGCTGCATACTATTCAATCGTGTGTATGTACCACATTTTCTTTATTCAATCTACCATTGATGGACACTTGGGTTGATTCCATATCTTTGCTACTGTGTATAGCACAGTGATGAACATATGAGTGCATGTGTCTTTTTGGTAGGATGATTCATTTTCCCTTGAATATATACCAAGTAATGAGATTACTGGGTCAAATGATCATTCTGTTTTACATTTGGGAAATCTCCAACTGCTCTCCACAGTGAATAAACTAATTTACATTCCCACCAATGGTGAATAAGCAGTCCCTTTTCTCTATAGCCTTGCCAACATCTGTCATTTTTTGACTTTTTAAAAATAGCCAAGACATTGGTGTGAGATAGTATCTCATTGTGATTTTGATTTGCATTTCTCTGACGATTATTGAGATGTTAAGCATTTTTTCATAAGTATGTTGGCAACTTGTATGTATGTCTTCCTTTGAGAAGTGTCTGTTCATGTCTTTTGCCCATTTTTTATTGGAGTTATTTGGTTTTTGCTTGTTGAATTGTTTAATTTCCCTGTAGATTCTGGCCTTTGTCAGATGATAGTTTGCAAATATTTTCTCCCATTCTGTAGGTTGTCTACTTACCCTGTTGATAGTTTCTTTTGGTGTGCAGAAGTTCTTTAATTTACCTAGGTCCTACTTGTCTATTTTTGTTTTTGTTGCAATTCCTTTTTTTAGACAAAATATTATTTGCCAAGGTAAATATCAAGAAGAGTATTTCCTAGATTGTCTTCCTGGAATTTTATAGTTTAAGACCTTGCATTTAAATCTTTGATCCTTTTTGAGTTGATTTTTGTATGTGGTGAAAGGTAGAGGCCTGGCTTCAACTTTGTGCATATAGATAGCTAGTTATCCAAGCACCATTTATCAAATAGGGAGCTCTTTCCAACCATTGCTTCTTTTTGTCAGCCTTCAAATTTCATGTTGAATGCCAGGACATTCCCCATAATCATTAATATGGAAAAATACACTGTCAGCAAATGGTAAATATTATGATTATTCTTTGAAAAATATTTATAATGTGTTATTTCTACTGAGAATGAAAGGTATATAAATATAAATTACTATCAAACATTTATTTTGATGTACTGAAATTGATCCTGTTATTTATTGGGAAATGCATATTTAATATATTTTAAAGAGTTTCTCTCTCGAGTGAAGGAAACTAAAATATTTTACCCTAAAATATACTTTAACATATTTTGAGATGGCTACTTAGAGGGCCTTCCAAAGAAGTAGCACTGAAAATTTGCCTTTTGTGGGAGAGATTTACATCTGTAGAGGAAATCTGCACTGATGCAGTCAGCCCTTCTCTGAGGCCCTTCTTTGTCCAGATCCAAAAAGATTAACTGATAATCTGACACCTTTAAAGGTCTGAAAGAAACATTTACCATCTACTCTCTTTGAGTACTCCTAACTCTGAGGTTTCATCTACATAACAAGACCACATTTGCTAGCCAGGCTTCTTCTTCTCTCCCCTCCATAACCTTTCTTGATGCTATAACCTGATGTACCACCATAACTAATTTTTGCCATGCTCCCAAGCTTAATTTCCTTCTGTAGCCTCAAGATCATATATAGCTTCTGTAATTGGTGGGGGAGGTGGTAATCAATCTGTAGTTCCTTGTTGATAAGGTTTGGCTCTGTGTCCCCACCCAAAACGCATCTCGAATTGTAATCCCCATGTGTCGAGAGAAAAACCTAGTGGGAGGTGATTGGATTATTCAGACAGCTTCCCCCAGGCTGTTCTCATGATAGTGAATGAGTTCTCACAAGATCTGATGGTTTGAAAGTGTTTGACACTTCCCCCTTTACTGTCTGTCTCTCCTGCCACCATGAGAAAACATGCCTAGCTTCCCCTTCACCTTCCACCATGATTGTAGTTTACTGAGGCCTCCCCAGCCATGCTTCCTGTTCAGCCTGCATAACTGTAAGTCAATTAAACCTCTTTTCTTCATAAATTACCCAGTCTCAGGTAGTTTTGCACATTAATTAATTTGTATGTCCTTTTTCCTATTAATCTGCCTTTTGTCAGGTGATTTTTCAGCAAACCTTCAGAGAGCAATGGGGAAGATTTCCCTTGGTCCCTAAAAATATTTGTTTAGAAAACATACTACTTACACAAAGCTTCCAAAAAAAGGTTCTACTCTTTCCATTTTCACTGATTATTTATACATTTAACAAATTCATTGTGTTTATATACAATAAGCAGGACACAAATCTATGAGTTGAAGTATTAAAACTATTTTTAAAAACTCACCACCGTTTACACAAAATAAAAAATATGTAAAAGATTATTCTTAAGTGTATAACAATTCTTTTTAAAATATTGTATAAAAACATGTATGTATTGTTAATTTTTTATTAAAAGCTCTCATCAGGGCAAAGGTCAATTTTGGCCTCACTAAGGTCATGTATCATAAATATTATATAAATTGAACCTCAATTAATTGATTTTCCTAAGTACAGCATATGAAAAAAATATTATCTACTTCTATTTATTCACCAAAATCCTTGCTTGTCACCTTAATCCTAGAGTGTACCAATATGGATTATTGTACTTTACAAATTATCAGATTGGGAATGAGCATATTTAGTTTTTGTTCACTCATCCAGTCAACAATTTGTTCATTTAAAGCATGTTTTGAATCCTATTTTGTATGAGGTAATTTGCTTTGTTTTGGAGAACAAAATGGAACAGATATCACTACTGTCTTGAAGGAGTTTATAACATAATAGCACATCAGGCAAATAAAGTTTTATCAGAGTTAACCAAATTTATAGAAAAGTGGAAAAACAATGGAAGCCATGGTCAATTCAAATAGAAGGGACCATAGAAACGATTTCCTAGAGGATGAATATGTGCTATGTAATCAGGAAATCAAGGTTATAGGATAATCTTTATATTCATGGTGATGGAAGCATCACTGAAGAAATATAAGTACTAAAGGAAGATGTATCAGTCCACTCTCACACTGATATAAAGATACTACCTGAGACTGGGTAATTTATAAACAAAAAAAACATTTAATTGACTCACAGTTCCACATGGTTGGGGCGGCCTCAGGAAAAAGAAGAGGAAGCAAAGCACTTCTTACATGGTGGCAGGAGAAAGAGAGCATGGAGGAGGAAGAACCACACACTTATCAAACGATCAGCTCTCATGAGAACTTTATCACGAGAACAGCATGGGGGAAACCTCCTCAATGATCCAATCACCTCCCACCAGGTCCCTCCCTCAACACGTGGAGATTACAATTTGAGATGAGATTTGGGCGGGGACACAGAGCCAAACCATCTCAGAAGATAAAGCCTGAAACAGGCTAGTATGTTCAAACTGCATCAAGTATGTTATTATAGAGCATACAGTACCATGCATGCAAAGGATCATGTTGGAGCAGTATGAAAATGTCAGATAATGGTGACCAGAAATGCCTATGGTGGACAGAAAATTGGCAATATGTTTAAAGTAGCTAGGCTTGAGGAATTTAAAATCATAGAATAGACTTTAAATAAAAAATATTTTGATACTTCCTTCGGGTTGACCTCTCCTTCCCATCATGGCTTTAAGTAGTTATTCAGTTTAACTTTGGAACGCCCTTGGCTGAGATGGGGTCCATTCAGGTGGCTAAGGGCCTTAGAATTTCATTTTTAGTTTATAGAAACAACATTTAAAGTAACCTGTAATTCTACACCCAGCAAACAAGCATTTCAAAACTGAACACGAAATAAGGAGTTTCACAGATGTATATAAGCTGACAGATCATCATGAGAAGATCTATAATACAAAACAATGTGAAAATGAAATTATCAAATAGAAGTAAAATGACATCAAATGGAAATATAAAACCACACAATGGAATGATAAATACAATGGTGATTACATGCGTAAATATATGATTTTGTTATTAAAATCTATCTAAATGTTAACTGACTACTTAAACAGAAATAGTAACAAGTGTTGTGGGATACATATATACACACATACATATACACACACACACACACACACACACACACACATATATAATCACTCAGGAATGAAAAACTAAAAGTATACTACTAATGGAAGCTTCTTGTATTACAAGTAGAGTGGTATAATACCACCTGAAGGTAGGCAATAATATGTATTTATTATAAGTCTGAGACCAACCACTATAATAACAAAACAGACTTATAGCTAATAAGTCAATAGAAGAAATAAAATTAAAAATAAAGCAGCAAAAAGAGGAAAAAGAAAAAAAAAACAGAAAAATAAGAATAGAAACATGGCAGCGTTAAATCTAACCATATCAATAATCATATTAAAAATAAATGGTCTATAAACATGGGAGTGTAAGTATCCCTTTGAGATAGTGATTTTATATCCTTTAAATGTGTACTCACATGTGGGAATGTGGAATCATACAGTGGTTCTATTTTCATTGAGCAGAGATCATGCCACTGCACTCCAGCCTGGGCAATGAGAGCAAAACTCCATCTCATAAATAGATAAGTAAAGTCACACCTGAAATTAAGGTTGCTAATCAGCTGACCTTAAAATAAGAATAGTACCATAAGTTATTTGGGTGGTCCAATGTAATCACAAGGGTGCTTAAATGTGGAAGAGAGAAGCAGAAGAAGAGTAAGTATTAGAAGGATGCAATGAGATAAAGACTTGAATGTCCATTTTGTTGCCTTTGGGGAAAGAAGGGTTCTACAAGCCAATGAATGTGAGCAGCTCCTAGAAGCTGAAAAAATTAAATAAATGGATTATCCCCTAAATAAATGATTCTGATGACTTCTTAATTTTACCCCAGTGAGACTCATTGAAAACTTTTGACCCTCAGAACTGCAAAAAAATAAATTTGTATTGTTTACACTTATTCAATTTGTGGCAATTTCATTAGCAATGGAAAATGAATATAAAGTTTAGTACCAGGAAGTGCTGCTTTAACAAATAACTAAAGACACAGAAGTGACTTTTTAATTGGGTGGTGTGCAGACACTGGAAGAATTTTTAGGAGCATGATAGAAAAAAAAGGAGCGACATTACCTCAAATAGAATTTAGAAATATGCATGTTAATGACTATGCTATTGAAGACTTGAATGTCAGGATCATAGAAGATAATATGCATGTATCTTCTTGGAAACTAAGTCATAATAAGCAGACTATATCATAAGAAACACTTACATTGAAGATACTGCTAATGAGGGCTCATATGGAAATGACAAATATGTTCATGGTAACTGTAGAAATGGGGATCCTTGTTATATAGTGACAGAAAACAGAACTGAATGATGTCCTGCAGTCATGTAAAAAACAAACTTACAAACAATGTACTTCGATATTTAGCTGAGGATATTTCCAGGCAAAATGTTGAAGGTGCAGTCTGGATTGTCCTTGCTGCTTCTCATGAAATGTGAAAAGAATGAAACTGATTGAGGGAAGAATTGGTAGCAAAAAGAAACCAGTATATGGGAAATGTTTGGATTACAGAAGTCTCTAAAATTAGGAGATTCACTGTCAGGAAAATTTGCTCTGGAGAGACAGTCAAGGGCATGTCTACAAAACCTTCTCAAAAGGATCAAAAGTTCAGATTCTTAGTAACACAGAGGGCTCCTTGAGTAGATTCTATATGTGACTCAAGGATCTAGTTAGCTATCTCAGCCAAATCCAGGGATAGAATGATTACTCAGAAAAAAATGTGTTAAGGGTCATCTGGTTTAATGGAGTGCATCCCCAGGACATATACAAGATACCTGCAATTAAAAAGGGGAAAAAAATGTGAATATACACTCCATCAGAAAGAAACAAAAGAATAGAAAATATGTAGACACAAACATGACACAAGTCACTAATCATTAGGGAAATACAAATTAATATCTAAATGAAATATCACTTTACTCCAATTGGAAATGTTAAATTTAAAATTATTGAACAAATTAAGTGTTGATGAGGTGTGTGGAAAATGAAACTCTCATACTCTACTGTTGTGAATGTAAATTATTAGAACATATTAAAAAGTCACTTGTCAGATTCTTAAAAAGTTAAATATATATGTCTCATATGATCTAGCCAATCCCATGCTAGGGCCTTAGCTAAGAGAAAAAAATGTATTTTCATCAAAATGCACATGAATATTCATAAAAGCTTTATTTGTAATAGCCATTACTGAAAATGGGCCATGCCTGATGGTTCACACCTGTCTTCCTATCACTTTAGAAGGCCAAGTTGAGAGAGTCTCTTGAGTTCAGGAGTTTGAGACCTGCCTGAGCAAGATGGTGAGATTGTCGTCTCTACAAAGCAGTTTAAAAAATTAACTGGTGTGGTGGAGCATACCTGTAGTACTAGCTACTCGGGAAGCCAAGGCAGGAGGATCCCTTGAGCCCAGGAGTTTAAGGATGTAGTGAGCTGTGATGACACCACTGTACCCCAGCTTGGGTGAGACAGTGAGACCTCATATCTTAAAAACAAAACCAAAACTGAAAACTGTCCTAATGTCTATCAGAGGATAAATGGATAAAGTGTGGTATATCCATATAGTGTAATACTACTCAGCAATCAAAATAAGTTAACTACTGATACATGTGATAACTTGGAAATATCTCAAAATAAACTATTCCAAGTGAGAAACCAGACAATGACAGGGAATATACAGTATTATTTAATTTATGTAGAATTATTTAAAATGTAAACTCATGCATACTGACACAAAGCTGATTTGTATTGCCTCTGGGGATTAGGGTAAGGAGAGGCATAAAGAAGAGTTAACAAAGGAAGATGAAGCAGCACTATGAAACTTGTAGGTATTGGTTGTGAACATTTTCTTCATTTGTGGTAATGATTTAGTGGATATATACATGTGTCAAAACCTATCAAATTGTATACTATAAATACATGCAGTTAATTGTATTTCAATTATATCTGAAGAAAGCTGTTAAAATTATCAAAAAAAATCTTGTTCCTAATAAAGTCTCTGGAATCAGTTATCATTGTGTTTACTTTATTAGTTGATTACTTGGATTAATTCAAGGTTATACTCTTCCTCTTTTCTCTGTGTGGAACGTTTTTCTCTAAGACAATTTCATGTTTTGCTCTCTCACTTTATTTAGGTCTTCTGGTCAAATGATACCTGCATCAGGAGCCTAACCCTGCCCATTCTGTTGTGTTTTAAAGGAAATTCTGAATAAATAATGCTCACTCATGAAAAGTATCTAAATTTTTTTTTTTAGTTTAGAGCTTGAACAAAGACACTGTGTCTACTATAGCGTAATAATAATAATGCATTACTGTTAATTGACTCAAGAATAGCTTTCTGAAATGCACTAATAGTATACTCATTAATTACCATGTCAAAATTATTTACCTTATACTATTTACTTGATACTGTTATATTCTTAATATTATTTAATTGATATATTATACTCTCAGTTTTTCAAATAAGAAAACTAAGCAGTCAAGGGGTTAAATAAATTTTTTTAAAGCACAGAATTAGTGTCAGCTAAAGATTGAACCCAGGTTCATCTGACTTTAAAACCCAACATTTTAACTATTCTCATATATTTATCCTAGAACTAAGATATCTCATATCTACACAATGAATTAAAAACAACTATTACATTTTTTTTCTTTTTACCATTTTGCGCTCTCTGGAAATTGGGAATATTTGTGAAATAAAAAAAGAAAAAACTTCTTTTCGTCCACCCTAAAGATCATATCCATTTTAAGACAGAAAAATGAATTAGAAAACTAAGAGCCTGTTAGAAAGAAGACATTGTATGTTATTATCTTCCAAGAAAGGACTACCAAAGAAGTACAATGTTAACTGGCAAATGTAAAGTGGTTCATTAATGACAGAGCAGGTACTCTATCACTCTGTCATTTAATTAGAAGAATGCTTACGAAGGTAGGAGTTACCCTGAGTGATTGAGGTCTTAACCTTTTTAAAGGCAGGGGGTTGTACTAACAAACTTTCAAAGGACCACTTCAGTTTCTTGCTTTGAAATTTTTAAATAATAATTTGACTTTTTTCCTAATTGCACATAAAATAAAGGATTACTTACTTTGAAACTTTGAATTTTATACTTTCCCTTTAATTTTTAAATTAAGATTGTTTTTCTGGATTCCCTAAAAGATTATGTTGATATGAGTAGAACATTTGCATCTTGTACTTGTGGGGAAGAGTTCTACTAGTGTTAGCTGATGGGGGAGCTTTTCAGGAGATGGTAAAGGAGAGGGAGTATAGTTATGTTTTTGAGTTAGAAACTGACAAGGACATACACACAAATATATTAGAATTAGAGAGTTTAGGCTAAGTATTAGGGGGAGGAAATATTTCCAATGGCCCTGAGTGCTATTAATATAAACATATCCAAAATACCTATACTTATATATTCTTATCAAATAGTTATTACATTGAGAAGATACCAATGATACATTTATGTTTTGGTTAAAGAAAATACACAGACACACACAGGCACATTTCAAACACTGAAAGTCATTTCCCCAAATTAATACACATGTAATGGTCAAGCTCTTTATTCATTCCAATATTTATTCTCAATATTCATTGAGAACCTATTTGGTATCAGGCACTATTCTAGTGTTTTACTTATCAATGAGGCAAAGGGGCAGAATGCTCTGTCTTTATAATGCTTATGTTGCAGTGGACGTGTGGTAAGATAGAAAATCAACAAAATAAACAATGACATGGCATATTAACTGGTGATAACTTATGGAGAAAAACAAAGCAGAAATCAGGATAGAAATTGGGAGGTAGCGTTCAGTTTTAAATAGGATGGACTGGCAAGACCCCACTGAGGAGATATTTAATTAAGTGCTTAATGTAGATGACGAAGGGAGCCATATGAATTTCTAGAAAGAAAGGATCCTGGCACAATAAACAAGAACAATGGCCTGAGGCAAGAGAAAATATCCAGGCTAAATTCCAGAGAATTTGAACAGGCCACTGTGTCTGAAATAAATGCAAAAAGTGGAGCAGAGTAGAAAGATATTGGACAGAGAGCAGAGAGTGGATATTGCACGTTCTTGTGATTCCTTCAATGACGTGTTTTTCCTTAGAGTGAGATGGTAGCCATTGTAGGATTTTTACAAATGGCTTCTCCAAGGGAAAAACAAAACAAAACACGTTACTGACAAATTGTAATATGATCATTTCAATTGCTATGTTGACTAGGACTAGAGATGAACAAGGATGAAAGTAGGGAGACCTGTTAGAAATAATGGTAATTGAAACAAGCTGTTGGCTCTTTTATTAATTTTTGCCACTGTGAAGAGTTCACCACTAGAAATATTAACTAGCTAATAAAATATCATAAAGATATGCTCCTTGGTGCTGAATCAACCTCAAAGAATCAACTCTTGGACATAATATATTATAGACTTTTATTTGCCAAGAAAGTTTACTAAAAGTTTTATTTGAAATAGTTTGAACGAAATACAAATAAAACCAGCTTTACTTCAGAGAATTGTACATTTTCAAGTGCATAAGCTTGTGTTGCTTTTGTTTCTGTTATTTATTGGCCTACAATGTTTTTGCTTGTTTGCTTACATTATTTTGCCTCGAAATAGTGATGTGAACAGATACAAGTGGGTGCATATGTTAGTCTGATGTCATGTATTTGACAGTGAGTTGTGGATGGTGCTCATGTTTATTCACGATATGCCTGTCACTACATTTTGTTGTTTATAAATTGAACTGGCTGGACACGTGATCTCTTCAAAGCTCTAGGGACGACTTGTCGGAATTCAAGACAATTTCATTTTGAAGAACATATTTTGTGTTAACCTGCATGGGCTGGTTGAAAGATTTTCTTTTTTAAATTGTTTCAGAGAACTTTACAAAATGAACCACTCCCTATAAATGAGTAAAGCCCTTTACAGATTCAACCTCACAATTTTATATTCATAATTTTAAAAGAAACCAAATTTGGAAAAAGGTTTTTAAAAAGTAAGGTAAGAATCTGATACTTAATTTCTTCCAGTTTTTACCCAATTGCGTTTATCTAATAATATGCACATTTTCTCCCTATCTTAAATTCCTAATTTTACTAGAAGCCAATCTACAGTTGCTGAATCTTTACAGTAGCTTCTAAGATGGCTCACAATTATTCTCACCTCCTGGTATTCATGCCCTTGTGTATAAACTGTGCTTAGTGACTTATGACAAATAGTACTGCAAAAGTAGTAGAATGTCACCCTAAGATTAGGTTACAAGGAAAATGTGACTTCTTCCTAGTTCTCCCTAACCACATTCTGAAGGAAGGCAATTAGGGAAATGAAGATGGCCTCCAGCTACTAGTTAACAAGAAACTGAGGTCCACAGTTCAACAGCCAACGAGAAACTAAATCCTGCTAACTGCCATGTGAAATATTAGAAGCCCATCCAAATCCAGTTGAGCCTTGACATGACTACAATCCAAGTCAACACTTGATAATAGCCTCATGAGAGACCCTGAGCCAGAGGACCCACATCAGCTGTGCCAAGATTCCTGACTTACAGAAATGCTACAATAATAAAGGTTTGTTTCTGACTGCTAAGTTTTGAGATTATTGCTTTTTTGCACAGGAATTGATTATATATATATATGTGTGTGTGTGTGCTTTAACACAGTATAGGGCTCCAATGATTATATAAGCATATTCTTTTAAAATTATTATAAAAAAACAAGGTTTTGAAGCAATCTGCAATTTCACCTAAGCATAAAAAGTTAAACACAGAAGTAAAACTATCTCCTGAACACTGTCATTGTAGTCATTATTAGAATATTAGTCTTGTTATAATAAATAAATATAACAACAGAGAATATAATAGAATATAAGGATTGTAGATGTAATTATTTTATTCTAGCTAGAATGTAAGATAGTGATTTATTTACGTAATTATACCAGTGTCTGGATACTATCCTGTTCACTTTATGTGAAAAGCTCTAAGTACTAAATATTATTAATTTAAAATAACACTAATTCCATACCAAAATCTCTAATTCAAAGATGTTTCTGTCTCTATTGCATTCTTTAATCGGCCAAGCACTCTGCTAAACTTGTGCCCCATAGAACATTAAACCTCCTTCTTAGCTGTCTTAGTTGTCTGATCGTGCAGTACCAGCATCTCTGAATTTGGTATTTGGTTAATAGCTCTATTACCTTTCATGCTGAGTCCAAAGCTTTACCTCTCTCAGTCTTTGCTTTTGCCAACTGGAAAATTTTCCATCATGTCAAGAAAACCCACTGTGCAGTGTGCTTAGGGAATGGGCCCTCTCTGGCTGACTGACAGCTATTCAATAGAGAAAAGAGCCACAGAGAGATACCGATACGTATTAAACTCAGTGAAGAGAACAAGCTTTGTATTTCAAAATGTCACTTTTCTTAGAGTTCAGTGGGAGTGAGTAGCTATAAGGTAATTTCTAGAGGGAACCATACTGTAGTTCATTGTATAAATAATTGATTTGATCAGCTGAAATTATTGTGCCTAGTCCTGAATGACCTTTCAAATAAATTGCTGGTTTTTCACTACAAAAGCAACTAGAGCTTATAGTAAGATGTCAAAGAAATCCATATACAGTAGTTTTCTATAGAAAGAAAGGGAATTTACATGGCATTATTTTTCTTAGAATAACTAAAATATGATCAGCTCTTTTCTTGTGTACAAATAGAGACAGCATACCTTGGTTTTATTCATATGTTCAAGGTCGAACACTAACTGAATTATTTCAACTACATCTTATGTATGAATGTTTTAGACGATATATTTTAAAATGAAATAGATAAACAAAACATACCTGTGAAGAGACTACAGGGAAAACATTCCCCTTTACAGTATGCAGAATGATCATTGTATCTTAAGACAATGGTTTCTATTAGAAAATTAACAAACACACTTGAAACTCTACAGAACAACAATCTTTAATATCTCACTATGGATTCATCCTTTACTTTTTTATGCCCCAGTGCTTATTATAATGTATTACTGATTTTTATTCTTATTATATTACTGATTCTGTATATTTTCTTTCTCCTTAGAAATTTTACATAATCAGTTATGTCTGTCCTTCATATGTTCATTTAACACATTTGTTTATTTTAGATTATAGTACATTATTATTATAATGTATTACTGATTCTTATTATAATATATTACTGATTCTGTGTATTTTCTTTCTCCTTAGAAATTTTACATAATCTATTATGTCTGTCCTTCATGTGTTCATTTAACACATTTGTTTATTTTAGATTGTAGTACATTATTGTTCATAGTTAAATATTATTAAAATAATACAGAATGTAAATAATTGAAAGATTGAAGCAACCTTTCCCAATTTCCTTAATCTCTATTTCATACTTTGACTCTGCATGTATAACCATAGTCTCAGTTTGTGGTGCATTTTCTCAGATATAGTTTAATACACACATAAGCAGATATATTTATAGCTCTATTAATCTATTTACATACATTTATTTATTTATTTATTTATTTACTTTTTTTTGAGATGGAGGCTCATTCTGTTGCCCAGGCTGAAGTACAGTGGCCTGATCTCTGCTCACTGCAACCTCTGCCTCCCGGATTCAAGCTATTCTCCTGCCTCAGCTTCCCGAGTAACTGGGATTACAGGCACGTGCCACCACACCTGGCTAATCTTTTATTTTTAGTAGAGATGGGGTTTTATCATGTTGTCCATGGTTGTCCAGGCTGGTCTCCAACTCCTGACCCCAGGTGATCTGCCCTCCTCAGCCTCCCAAAGTTCTGGGATTACAGGCGTGAGCCACCATGCTTGGTCTATATATTTATTTATAAAAACATTCATAAATACATGAATATATTCATGCGCATCTATATTTATAAATATACATATTTACAGCCACCTATCTACATGTTTACATATATATTCATTTTAACACAAAAGGGATCATTCTGAATGTACTTTTCATAATTTCAAAAACCTCTTATACATGGCATTTTTTTCATAATACAGTTTTTAATTACAAAAGTCACGTATGCACAAACTAAGACTTCTGACAGTATAGAATGCAAATACAACTTTAATATCCTTACAATATAATGCCATTTAACAACAATTCCTCTTTCATAATTTTTAAATATGCCTACCTAATTCTTTTTAATTGCTGCCCAGCGTTTTATTGGTGGTTGCATTGACCTTGATAATATAACTGGTCATATTCTTTTTCTGTTTTCCTATTTGGTCATGTATGGGTTTTCACTAATTAGCAAAATAAAAAACAAAAAACTATTCTACCTACATCCTAGGTACTAACATTTATAGTCAAAATCAGGCTGCAAAAAGCATACTTATAGAGCTGATGTGGCCTGCCTCCAGTAGACAGAATGAGGATTTAGCTGTTGAATGATTGGTACTTCTTGCTATGATTACAGTTCAATGTAAGACTGTTTCCTACAATACTGACTGTGTAAATGTCTAAGTGTACTTTATTCAACAGTATCATATTTGCTTACTCTTTTGGGCCCTAGGAGCTCCTAGGGTTGTCTATGTTTGATGGCATGAGTTTGATGGAAAATATGGGTATAATCAAGACTAGAATTATTCAGTAGATTAATTTTGGGAAGAACCCAGGGACACATATTTAGCATTATCTGTGGGAAAAAAAATGTTTGTTTTTTTTTTTTTTTTGGTTATTGCTGTTGTTGTTGCTTTTGTCATCTTACATGCCTGGTTCAAGTTTTTAACTTTATCTGAAAAGGTCTTTGCCGCATGAATTTGAGAAAGAGAATTAATCCTGCATAGTCGACTGTAGCTTATTATTTTTCACTGTAGTTAGTGAGAAACTTAGTCAAACACAATTTTAATGAGAGCTCTTTCCTAAGCTTTGCCTCTGTTTTATACAGGTAGTTTTTAAAATTCTTCACAAATGTAACCTGGCCCTACTTCACACCCTCATTTTAAGCCACAGTGCTCTATCTGTACTAATGATCTAGCATTTACTCCAATGAACAAAGTATTTTTCTCACTGCAGGCCTTCAAATAGGTTGCTATCTGTTGGAAGGGCTCCCCCTTTAACCAATGCCTTTCATTTGGCTATACCAGTTGTATCTGTAACCCATAGTTATAAGATTAAATCTGAGTACAGCCCTTCCTCTGCTAGCAAAAATCCTGCACATGAATTGTGTGACCTATAAGCTCTATGAAGTGATAGTCGTTGTTATGTAGCCATCATCTGGCACAGTGTCATTCATATGCTAGGTGCTCCATTAATATATTTTGGTTGAAATAAGGAAATAAAAGTGGTAAAGTGGAAAATAAGAAAGGAAGAATGACAACCAGATATTGGAGTGTGTAATTATGGCAGCAAGAGACTGAATATACAAATAGACAATAGTCAGACGATATACAACGGAAATCTGATTGAGAGGCTCAGGAGGTCAAACCACTATGCTACAGTAATCAGGCCAGAAAGTCAAATCACAGCCTTTATCACAATGTCCCTAGAACAATCAAGACTTGGTCAACAGCTGCTGAATTTCCTGTGTTTTACCCTCATTTTCAACCCAGAATAAACCAGAGAAAGCCTAACATGCATTTTTCTCCCACGGCAACAACCTCCAATCAGTACATACTGAATGAAGCCTTCCCCTTTTTTCGCTGTAAAGCTTTCCCATTCCTCTGCCTACCTATAAGTTTGTGCAAAACTCAAGTGATGCTGGCTTATCACTTGCTATAGAGGGACTAAAGAAATAGCCTCTATTTATCCTCATTTGGTTGGACCTATTTTATTTACTTCTATTACTCACAGTAGGAGTATAATAACTAACTCTTTTGGAATATATATATAATATTGGAACATGAGTTAGTTTGATACACCAGGTAAGAGTAATTTATGTTATGACAAGAAGGGTAAGTTAGTTAAGTTCCACATTGAATAACTCATAATGACCTGTTGGTAGTAGGCAAATATTTGAAAAATTATTATTATTTTTAATATTTAAGAAATACATTTTTACTTAAATAGTAAAAAACTATTTATTTCATTAATACTTTTCCAGATAATTGTTTTATTTTAGTAGTCATGATCTAAATAATAGTGGCTCCCATTGCTTTAAACGTTCTGCTCAAAGATTATTACTATTATAGTGTTCATTAGCATGTGTCATCAGTAGTTTAATATATTAGACAAAGTTAATACCTGTCCCAAATAGCCAGTTGTTCTTTTTTATAAATTTATTCACTGAAATTTTCTACATGAGCACCCCTTTTAGTAAATTTACACTGTAATAAAGAAGATAAGATATGCATGAGAAATGCATACATGATAATTTTACTAATGAAAGTGTAAACAATCTGTGCAACTTGAAATAATATAATACTTCCTGGTAGGGCCAGTAAATATGAAATTATGAATGAGGTGGCATTTAATCTGTAGTCTCAAAAATAAGCTTTCTTAAGTTGATTAGTAGAGCCTAAGCAGAAGAAAGTAACAGAAAAAACATAAAATCAAGAACAAAATCACAAAAAAGTAGGTATTTGGAGGAACTTGGTGAGTGTGCAGAGTAGCTAAAAGGAAGTCTTACTAGAATATAGGTCTTATAAATGAAAAAGTGTATCTAAAAGCCTGAGAATATAGGTTAGAGTCAGATTGTAAAGGTAAGGAATTATTATGAGTTATTATAATAGATTGGCAGGCAGATACCGCCAAGTGGATCATTCTATTCTATTACACCGCTATTGTAACATGTACTCCTTCATATTTGAGTTTATAAAGCTAAAGACTACATTTCCCATACTCACTTATTTCAGTTCCAACTTTGACCTAACTTACCCTAAGCAAAAGTAGCCGTATAAATTTGAAGGTTTGAAATGGGATAGAGTAAGACATTTTCTCTTCTGCTGGTAAGCCCACATGTGGAGATAGCTTATTTTTTTTCTCCATAGTGATATTGTACAAGAGATCCTAATGTATTATTTCTGGTTTTGTGGCTGTGAGAGGCATAACATGGATTAGCTACTTTGCTATCATGAATCAAGGCTGAGATGGAATGGCCTTGACCCAGCACTTTGGCCAGTGATTTGACTTACCAATTTTCAGATAATGAGAGATACCAAATCCCTAGTGGACAAGTTTTGCTGCATTGTTTCAAGAATCTTTTCTGGGGTACTGAACCACCTTCCAACAATTATACATACATTGCAGTAAATATATTTTTGTTTAAATTAACTAGAGCAGCTTCCGTTATAGGCAACAGTGTGCTGTGTGAAATACATTAAGAAAAAAAAAAAAAAACAACAGGTGTTTCTCAGTTTCTCCTCACTCTGGGCCACTGGCTTTCAACATGAGATGTTTTACCTCAGAGGACATTTGAGTTGTCACACTGGGAAGCTTCTAGTGACATCTATTGGGTAAAAGTCAAGGATGCTGCTAAACATTGTATGATGCATAAGACAGGCCCCACCACCGCCACCTGCAAATAAATTACATAACCCCGGTGGTGGCAAGACTGGTAATCCTTGACATTGATAAAGTTCTAGGAATTTGAGGGTAAGGTAGGTAAGAAGAGTATGTAAGAAATCAGTTAGAACTAAAATTGATGATACAATTAACATGAAATACAGATGCCAAGAAAAACAGGTTTTGGAAAGAACATAATACATTTAATTAGGAAACATTTAATGTTTTTACTTTGACTTTGTAAAAAACTAAATGCATATATAGAGTCTGGCATGTGTTGCATACCTCTTCTAAGTATGATTATTAACATATGTAATTCTCACAACTCTATCGAATAGGTAACGTTATCATTCACAAGTAAGCTAACTGTTACACGAACTAACCCCCAAATATCAGTGTTTTCACAAAATTGAGGGCTCTTTTCCCCATGTATAGCAGAGTCCAATGTGACTTTGCAGTGCCCTAGTTCATTTTATATTATGGCTTTTTTCAGATTCAAGTTTTATGAAATTAGCTTTTCTAGAGGGAGAGCATACATTTTAACCCTGATTCTTACATACAAACTGGAGAACAGCCTCTGAGGTTCTGGAGGCCCACTGGTGGCAGACTGGAATGAAGTAATCTAGGATTAGTCATTTACTTGTTCTAAGTCCTTCATTAATCTTTCTGAATACAATCCATTGTGGGTGAAATTTTTTTATTACAATCAGTGCAGTACATCCTAAGTGCTCAATATATACTTTAGAAGTGGCGATGGTGGCAGTAGGGGTGGTGGTAGTAATTCAGTAATTTCCTTTGAGGAGAAACAAAGACTTCTGTTTTTACTCAGAGCCATTTAAACTTGCTGTAGCCAAAGCTGTGAAAATAGAATTCATCTGTGGCATTCTTGAACCATTTAGCTTTTCTGATACAGCTACTAATTCCTCTTTTTTCTGCACATAATTCTGACCTGAGGAGGTAAAATGGTAACCTTTGACCACTACTAGAATGCTAAGAGAATTGTAAAGCCATAAGAGATGGCATCTTGAACTTTTAGTAATTCCACCAATAACTAACTTGAGGAAATTTATATTTTAATCCACTCTTGTCAAATGTTTCTGCTACTTCCAGCTGAATGTATTCCTAAAGAATATATTCCTTTCCCATTTAATTTCTCTACTTACCACTTACTAGTATGTAAAATTTTCTACAAATACATACATATGAATATATGTATAGATAATTTATTTAAATTTTATAAAATATATATTTATATTCACATGCATTTTATGTATGTGTGTGTGTATATATACACAAACCTTGCTAATTTTATGACTGCCACCAAGATATTTCTATGAAAATGGGGATTTTTATTCTTGAATGTGTCATTCTCAGGGCCAAGAATGGTCCTTGGCACAGATTATTGATTAATAAATATTTATTAAATGAGTGAATGAACAAGAAACATTTTTGTCTAATTTTTCATATAAAGATAATTCTTCAAATATAAGAAAATTTCACTGTAACAATTTTATGTTGCTGTACACAAAGACTAATTCACATACCTGGATGTAACAGGGTATTTTAAATTCTTGCTATTTAAAGAACATAGAAGAAAGACTAATCCCAACAGAACATTATTCATAAGAAAAAGTCATATTATTTATTTATTCATTCAACAAGTATTTATTGTGTACCTATTCTATGCCAGATGATATTTTTAGCCTAAAGTAATCAACAGGATCAGAATCCAATTTAAAGAGTTTATTCAAGCAAAAAGCTGGACATGGTCATCCGGGAGACAAAGACTCCAGATAAACGTGGGCAGCACTCTAAAGTTAAATGACAAGTTTTTGCTTATATAGTCAGAAAACAAAGTTTAGTAAGATTATAAAATTTTTTATATGAGGCTATAATGTTATGAGTTACATTTTAGTTGCCATTTGTTTCCTTTCCTTACAGCTTGTTTTTTTTAATGGCTTTTTTTTTCATTTTTAAAGAGTGTATTTAACATTCTATCTTAAGACAATGTGATAGTCATGAAGTCTTTGTGAGAGAAAAGTAAGAGGGAAGTTAATCTATAATGAGGATCAACAGTGAAGAGGGAAGGAGTCTTCCCTGGTGCCCTTTAGTCATTTGCAACATTTTAGAAAGTAATGTAGGTAAGGAAGAAGGCTAATCTATAATCAGAGGAAGAAAGGTTACAGCTGCCTAGGTTACAGCTGCCTATCATGTGACTCAGGCCCCATAATCATATTCCTTTAAGGCTCGAAATAATTAGGAGTTCTAACAGTTTAGATTTTGAATTGCTTATTTTTCACAGTACGATAAGCACTAGACATATTAACATGAAATATATATGTCTTGGTTTTTAGTTCCACCGCTTTACAAAGGAGACCATCTTATAAACAAAAAATGTCCACACACTTATCTGATTGGCTAGAAAGAAAAACAAAACCAACAATACCGACTTCTGGCAAGGATGTGAAAAAATGGGATCACTCATACACTGCCAGTGGGAATGCAAAATGGTACTGCCATTGTGGATATCAGTTTGGCAGTTTCTTATGAAACTAAACATGTAACTACCATATGACTCAATAATTACATCCCTTGGAATTTATTAACCCCAAGAAATGAAAACTTGTGTTTGCACAAAAATTTGTACATATTTATAGAATATATTATTATTATTTATAATAGCCCCAAACTGGAATCAGCCCAGATAACCCATAAAAGGTAAGTGGTTAAAGAAATTTTGGTACAGAGATACCGTGGAACACAACTCCACAATAAAAAGAACAAACTGTTCATACAGGCAACAACTTGGGTAAAACTCTAGGGAATCCTCCTGCCTCAACCTCCCAAAGTGCTAGTATTACAGGCATGAGCTGCTGACAAAATTTTAGAAGTGGAGAAGAGAATAGTGATTACTCAGGGGTTAAAGACATGGCCAGGGGCGTGAGGGAGGTGGTCATGGTCATAAAAGGGAAACATAAAGTATCTTTTTGGTGATGAAACTGTTCAGTATCTTGGCTATAGTGGTAGGCACATGAAAACACAGATATGATAAAAGTGGATAAAAGTAAAAAATATACACCCAAATAAATATAGGCTAAAGTAAAGTGTTGAAATTGGAAAAGATCAGTGGATTGTATTAATTGTATAAATTTCAATATCCAGATGGGCCATTTTCATCAAGAGCAGCAACTTTCAAAAATTGACACAATCCTTCTCATATGATGTCTCACATTTTTATCTATGGTAATTAGTACTTTTCTCTTATCACTTATCAGTAAAACTTTCTGGTCTTCACACTCACTTCCACATGTCAAATTACAGATCCAGGTAGAAAATAATATAATCTAAATTTACTATTTTTTTAATTGTTTGAATTCCTAAATTCTAAGGTTATAAACCTTTGATTTATGTAATGTCTCTTTTCAATGTATTTCAACTTTCTTTAAAAGAGAACTTCAGGCCGGGTGCGGTGACTCATGCCTGTAATCCCAGAACTTTGGGAGGCCTAGGTGGGTGGATCATGAGGTCATGAGTTTGAGACCAGCCTGGCCAATATGGTGAAGCCCCATCGCTACTAAAAATACAAAAACTAGCTGGGTGTGGTGGCACATGCCATAGTTCCAGCTACTTGGGAGGCTGAGGCAGAAGAATCACTTGAACCCAGGATGTGGAGGTTGCAGTAAGCTGAGATTGTGCCAGGGGCACTCCAGCCTGGGCGACAGAGCGAGACTCTGTCTTGAAAAAAAAAAAAAAAAGAGCGAACTCCAAAATTGTCCCTGTCAGACAAGCAATAAGTAAATGATGCAGATATTGTATCAGTTGGAATTTTTAAAGTGACAGGTTTACTTTTTATAGGTTTTAACCAGTGCATATAAACAATACTCTCGTGATATAAAATTTTTAAACTGTTTCACCTCTGAACAATGATTTTCCCCTTCTTTTTTATCCTTTTATTTATTGGTATCCTAAGTGTGTGCTCAATCTAACTAGTAGGTCATTTAGCATTAAGTCTTAAAGATAAACTAAACTCCGTAAGTAATGTTGATTATATCTATGAGACAAGTCCTTTAAAAATAATCATTTACATCTGAGTTTTAACTTAACAATAGATTCTACTCATTAAAAATAATAAAATTATTAACACTTGTTTATGATAAATAAAATAATTTTTCAATGAAGAAAAGTTGAGAAAACAGTTTTTGAAAGACTGTGTAATTATCAGGAATAAGAATAATAAGTGACCTTTCCAACTGGTCAAGATAGTCATTTTGTCATATAATTAAAACACTCATTAGAAAAGCAATAGTCTCTACTTGCTAGGTAACTACCAATGTCATACAAAAGCGCTTATTGAAAATATGTATCACACTAAAACCAAAATGCTTTTCGAAACCTAAGATAATGTTCTTTCATATAGACTTTATTTTTATAATAAAATAATATTATATCATGGGAAAATATGGTCCTGTATGAAGCAGGTGGTTAAGGAGCAAATAAATTACTAGCAGATTCCTAATTATAATATACTTTTAGTCTTTTATGATAAACGACAGATGTATGTTTACAAAAATGCATTATAGTAGAATCAGGTCAATAGAGTCTAAATGAAAAAGGCTTAATTTATCTGTACTCCCTTTTGAATTCAAAGGGATGGCCAATTTAAAAGAGCCACCATTTAATATAACGTGAGTTCAAAGGAGATTTATTTAAATAGGCCAATGAATACTTTTTTCTTTAATTTTCCAAATAGAAGACAATTTCAGAGTTCAAGTAGACACAGAGGAAAGTAACAAATCAAAGCAAAACAAAATATTAGAGTGGATGCAAAAGGAGTCTATTGCAAAATAATAGAGAGCTAATAAAATCATTCTATTTCCTAAACACTGCTAGTACATTGAAATATTTCACCAATGATTAGACTATTTTTTCTAAAAATTAGTAGTGTTACCGTTTGTCATCATTAAATCTCTACATTTCAAAATTTTTGATAAAGAATAAAAATAGTGCTTAAGTGCAAATCAAGTAACAAATAATTTAAGCATTAGAATATTTTCCACATTTATATATATACTAGTAAAATTAAAAAGATAAATTTGGAGTTTAAATATGTGGCTGTGAAACACAGCATTCTTTTTAAATAATTGTGTTTTCAAAATCTAACTAGATATAATTTCAAACCCTATAATGGAAAATGTACCATGAAAAGGAAACAATATTTAAAATCATTTCAGCATTAATTCATTCTTCTGTATTAGTTATTTACTGCTGATGTGTTTTAATGAACTGCATTTATGCCATCAATATATAGTATTATATAATGCAATGACTTGCTCAATTACTAATGGTTAATTTAGGTCACATTTTTATGTATACTCTTATCTTTCTAACTCCATTTCCCATGTAGTATTTTCAATGGTTTATTGAATTCTTTCATTTGAATTAACCTATTACAGTTACGATTATTTAGTATTAATACAGTGAAATGAAATAAACTCTTTGATATGGTCTGCCTTCTAAGAACATATAAATAGAAATATTTGGCATTTGCACACATAAAATGCAATGACAGCAATGGACAATGGTTGTTGAAATTACATTTAGATGCTTTAGAGGTTTAAAAATCAAGGAAAACCCATGTGGAGGGAATTCTTATGCAAAGGTTTTGAGAGAGATAGGATTTAATCTTTATTTTTTTCCAGTCATCTATTGCTGCATAACATACCACCTCAAGGCTGGTGGATGAACAAAACAACCATTTTATGATGCTCACAGATTCTGTGAAGCAAGAATTCAGACAAGGTGCAGTGCCGATGCCTTGTCTCTGTTCCATACTACATGAGATAAGGGGCCCCTTCTTGGAAAATTCATATAGCCAAGGATAGATCATCTGGGGTTTCTTTATTCACATGCTGCTGCTTAGTGTCATTCAGCAGTAGTGAGGCCTTCTTCACTCACATGTTGCTGCTTAGAGTCATTCACAGTGCCTACATTGACTTCTCCATTTGATGTGAGCTTCTTACCGTCTAGTGTCTGGTTTCTGAGAGAGATCCTGAGCAGGAGAGTCTGCAGAACAAGCTTTCCCAGAGACCAGGAGACAAGCTGTGTGGCCTTTTATAGTATCAGAAGCCATATAACACCACTTCTCCTATTATCTGTCAAAGCAGCCACATCTTCACCCAGATTTGATTAAAGAGTATGTTCAGTTAGAAACTATGAAGGATCTGAGGTCTTACCCAACTGTGATATTAATAAGCCAAAGATGATCCTTGTACATTGATTATCCCTATGATTACTTCTTCACAGCAGGCTGGGACCCATTAGGTCAAAAGCCTACCAGTGCCAAACTCAATTGTTTTCACAAACAATTTTTTTTTTGAAACAGTGTCTCACTCTGTTGTCCAGGCTAGAGTGCTGTGGCATGATCACAGCTCACTGCTACCTCTACCTCCCAAGCTCAAGCAATCCTCCCACCTCAGTCTCCCAAGTAGCTGGGATTATAAGCACGTGCCACAACGTCCAATTAATTTTCATATTTTTTTGGTAGAGATGGGGTCTCACCATGTTGCCCAGGCTGGTCTTGAACTCCTGAGCTCAAGCGATCTGCCCACCTGAGCCTCCCAAAATGCTGGGATTACAGGTGTGAGCCACAAACAATTTTTTAAAATATAGTCCAAGTAAGCAGATCTTTAGCATTTTGAACGGGTCTACTTTTCATATCCGGTGAAACTGTCCCCAAGACCTACTAGCCATATGTATTAGTCCATTTTCATACTGCTATGAAGAAATACCCAAGACTGGGTAATTTATAAAGAAAAAGAGGTTTCATGGACTCACAGTTCCACACAGCTGGCGAGGCTTCACAATCATGATGGAAGGTGAAGGGGGCACAAAGGCACATCTTATATGGCAGCAGGCAAGAGAGTGTGTGCAGGGGAATTTCCCTTTATAAAGCCATCAGATCTCGCGAGACTTATCCATTATCACAAGAACACCATGGGGAAACCCACCACCATGATTCAATTACCTCCCACTTGGTCCCTCCCAGGACATGAGCTACAATTCAAAATGAGATTTTGGTGGGAGCACAGCCAAACCATATCACCATACATAAGATAAACCCCAGTGCTATAAATAACCCCAAAATGTTGCTGCCCTTCAAAGTTCTCTGATGTAGGAACTCCTCATCATGCTGCAGAGACACATCATGTAGACTTGTAAGTCCCTTCTCTGGTTTTCCTTATTCCCAGGAGTGGTTTTGCCTTCCTCTCTTTCAAGATAGTGGCCCCTGTGGTGTATCTTTTGAAGGTCTCATCCTGAGGGAGCTCACCACTTCCCACACAAACCTGCCAAAGTGCCACCCAAAGAAAGTTCATTGTGCTATTGTCACTTAATGGTCATATATTTTCTTCTTCATCAGCCCCCAAATTTCTCATACTCACTACACCTATTTGCAAACAAGCCTGCCCCTGCGTGTGTGTGTGTGTGTGTGTGTGTGTGTGTGTGTGTGTGTGCGCGTGTGTGTGTGTTGCCAAGAGACACAGAGAAATAGGCTTTCTGGATCACAGAAATAGATACTTTATTCATTGTAAAATGCAGCAGCCAGAGCCCCAGTCCTCACCGAGCAATATAATGAGAGCCAGATGTTACCTCCATATGAACTAGGTTTGTGTCACAAGGAAGAAACTCCAAAATTATAAGAATCAGAACTTACGTAAGGTCTGCTGATACACCTGCCTATCTTCCCAACTGAAAAACAGAGATTATTTGTTAAGCACATATCCTTGAGGTAAGATGGGGATGAGAGGGGGTCCCTGGGCCTGGAATATAAACAAATTTTTCCAGGAAGGAGAAAGAAAGGCATTACGCCTTTATATCTCTCAGGGAGTTTCTAGTGTTTGAGACTTTCTATAGCTTCCAAAGCTGCTTATTATGTAAACATTGTTTCAGTGCCCTTTGCTCACAAGACCTGGACCACACAGAAACATGAAAATATTTAGAGAGGACTATCCCCCAAGAGAGTAGATGCCCATATCTTGAGAAAGTGGTCCAGAGATTTAGCTTGTCTGCACTCCTCAGTGTCTAAAGCATTGGCTAGGAGTACAAAGGCTTGGCTAAGTCCTTTTGCCAGGAACTGCAGTCATCTGGAGACCTCTTCACCCACATGTCATGGAACGGAATGGCTTGAAAGGCTTGTTCATCTGGAATTGTTGACCTGAACTCTGACACAGGGCTCCTCCACAGGCACTGGACTTCTCACATCTAGGTATGTAGGTCTAAAAAAGAGCATCTCAATAGAGAGCTTGCCACCAGCAACGGGTTCAAGAGAATCAGTTAGAAGTGGCATGACTTTTCATGACAAACTTTGGAAATCACAGAATCACATTTGCTGAACTTAATTGATTTGACAGCAGTCACAAGGCTGATTATGTACTATGGGAGGGGATATAATTCTCACTTGTCAATGGGAAGAGTACCAACATATCTGGGGCCATGTTTTAAAACCACCACAGTCTTGAAAGACATTGGGAACATCACTCACAGGGAGCATGTGAACAAGGTTCCAAAGGTACATAGGCAAAACAGGCCAAAGCCACAGAAATGTCCATTAGTTATAGTGATACTGAACAAGAGAACAGGTATTAGGATTGAAACATTGAATGATAAAATAATAAAAGTAGGTTGGGCTGAGCACAGTGGCTCACACCTGTAATCCCAGCATTTTGGGAGGCTGAGGCGGGTGGATCACCTGAGGTCAGGAGTTCAAGACTAGCCTGGCCAACATGGTGAAACCCCCTCTCTACTAAAAATACAAAAATTAGCTGGGCATGGTGGTGGGCACCTATAATCCCAGCTACTCAGGAGGCTAAGGCAGGAAAATCACTTGAACCCTGCAGCTGGAGGTTGCAGTGAGCTTAGATCATGCCACTGCACTCCAGCCTGAGTGACAGAGTGAGACTCCGTTTCAATAATAATAATAATAATAAAAATAGGTTGAACAAGTGATGAATATTCCTGAATTTCAGGATAAGTAATGGGTTTTTATCTTTTAGGAAATAAAATGTGATATATCAAAAAATTATTATTGAGAAAATTTAAACTTTGTGAGATTACATATAATTTATGATTTATACTGATTTATTTTTATCACGTATTAGGATTTAACATAATCTTTACAGTGTCTTTCTTGGCCTTTATCATGCCTGGACTTTTAATAGTCTTTCAAAAATTAAATGTATCTTATGGCTAAAAATACAATTGTTGAAGAAAATATTTTGTAGCTAATAGATCTATACAGAAAAATCATGTTTTTAATTCAAAGACATAAAATTATAATTGACTATTCATGTATAATTTAATTTACTGATAAATCAAATGACTGAGAAAAGTTGTTTTTATTCTAGGGGATTTCCAATCCAGAAAAGACGACTTAATATATTTTTGTGCCAGAAGCCAAGTCAGATGCTTCATTTAAAAGCATTAATTTAATTCAAAAAAAACCATCCCACACATGATTTCCCTAATTTTAACACCTGAGAAATAGACTTACAAGCAGGAATCTTGAGGGACTTATAAAAGACTTATACACAGTCTCACTGATAGTGAGGGTAGAATCATTCAGAATTCTGAGAGTTTCAGAATTGGAACCTAGGAACCCCTAGTTTAAATCGTCAGCTTTTCCTACCTCACTTGTCTATCTGATACATCTCATTGGGAAATTCAGTTGCCACACATTATTTCTTAATGCATTTTGGAGTGATTAGCGAAAAGTAAGTCTAAGTTATGTAGTTACATGTTATATGTGCTGGTTCAAAAAATAAAAGTTATTATCTTACTCTTTTTCATTTTAAGAAGTTATATTCTTCAGAAAAAAAATTGTATTTTAAGATACAGACTGAATGCAAGATGATCTAGTTTTCCCAAGTGATCATTTCATCCATTGGTTGTATGTCAATAAGACAGAAGAATACCTTCAAATAGAGATATTTAAAAATATGTACACATATATAGCTTGCATTCAGAGACTCCAATGGTTTTAATAATAAATAGTTTCTATATTGGGATATTTAGCAAGATAAATTGCATAATTGTAAAATTTTATACAGAAATGAAAATAAATACAACAAAAAATTTTAAATAAAAAAGTAAATAGATTCACTCTTACTAGGAGCTTATCATCCAATTAAGCTTGTTAAAATAGTTTTCTCATTATACTTTTTAATATTAGTCAACTTTTCTACTTTTCTCTGTCTTTGTTGTAAATAAGCCAAATGCCTATGAGTGCCCAGGGAAGCTGTTAAAAAATTGTTCTTTTATTTCTTGACCATAAAATAGAAATTATAACATATTCATACAAATAACTAGACTATCATCTAACTTTCTCCTTCATGAAGCTGATGCAGATGCATGATAGGGTATATTTTGCATTTTACAGAAGACACTTTTACTGTGATTGCAGAATAGTCTATTCGGACATAATGCTTCACATCTTTATGCACTGTCTCATCACTGGAAACCCACGGATGCTATACTATGGCTCAATATAACTCAGCCTAAGTGTAGATACATGGAAACAATTTATTCATGATTCAGTGGAAAACAAAAATCTCTTTATAATTCTAGGTAAAATATAACAATAGAATTGACAAATATAAAAATAGTAAAAGAAATTAAATTCACCAGGATCTCAGCAAAAGTACATTATTTTGAAAATTCACCAGGGAAAACCATATATATAAACTGTGAATGAGTTGGAAGAAGAGAAAATTCACTTCTTAAGAATCCCTATCCTCAGGATCTACTTTCTCCTTGTCAGAAGAAACCACAAGAGACAAGAAGAAATGTGTATCTTCTTTGCCCACTATTATACCTATAGAAAGGTTAGATAAGTAAGTTTATGCATAAAGGAATGAAACAGATTAAAGAAAATGCATACTTTTAGGCATGTAGATAAGATATTTTACAGAAATCTGATTGAGAAACTGCAGAGTTTAATATGGTGTGATGATAACACAATTTTTACAGATTTCAGAGGCAAAATGACATTACTTTCTTATTTATCTTTTAAGGAAAATATGGCATTTTCATATTCTTCCTTATGTTGCTAAAATAAAAGTACTTAAAAGAGCTAAATCCATGAAGAAATCACCAGATGGAGGGGGAGGACAAGTAGCATATTAGTTTATATATTAAACTTCCAAAGATTTTTATTTTCCACTTTGATTCATTTTACTTATAATACTAGATCAATCATATAAGCAGTGACACTTTTAAGCTTTAATTTTTATCTCAACAGAGATATCATTGACTTCTCTAAGTAAAGCTGAGGAGACTTTCTCAGCTGGTAATAAATACATGCTTATTAACAGAAAATAACAGCTTCTACTATAATTATATTTGTACTTAGCTATAACATTTAAATTTTTTCAGATTTTTTTATCTTTAAGTAACTGTGAAAAGTGGCTAATTATAATCTCAGTAAGGCTCATCTAGCAGGTAAAAATATAAAAATAATTTTTGATTAGTTCTTATATATGAAATAAGTTATGCTTGCTCTATATGGCCACATGTCTAATTTCCTATGAATATTTTAATAAATTATAAATAGTATATACAGAAGATATATTTGAATATACTAATAAGTCTAGTAGTTGCATGCATTGAACTGTTCTTAAATAAATCTATATCTTTTCATACCCATTGTTACTTGCCTAGTTCAGGCCATTATCATCTCTGGCCTGTAATAGTACAATAGTTTCAAGTACTGAACTCTTTTGATTGACTTTCCATACCACAGGGTAACTTAATTAAAAATGAGGTTCAATACCTCCATCTCTTGCTTAAAAATACAAATGGCTTCCCATGGATTTCTGGATTAAGTATGTGTATTAATCCATTTTCATGCTGCTGATAAAGACATACCTGAGACTGAGCAATTTACAAAAGAAAGAGGGTTAATGGACTAAAAGTTTCACATGGCTGGTGAAGCCTCACAATCATGGCTGAAGGCAAGGAAGAGCAAGTCATGTCTTACATGGATGGCAGCAGGCAAAAAGAGAGAATGAGAGCCAAGCAAAATGGGTTTCCCTTGATCAAACCCTCAGATCTTCTGAGACTTATTCACTATCACAAGAACAACATGGGAAAGACCTACCCCCATGATTCAATTATCTTCCACCAGGTCCCTCCCACAATACGTGGGAATTATGGGAGTTACGATATGAGATTTGAGTGGGGACACAGAGTCAAACCATATCAGTATATAAACTCCTTTTAGCACAAATTGCAAAGTCCTTCATGGTTCAATAACTTCACGTTCTTCTCTCTTTTCTCCACTCTTCTCATGCAACAGTCCAGCCCCATGGACATATAATGGTATCTTCCACTTTGGAGGCTTTATCTACCTAATTCTCCTCATTCTTGAAAATTCAATTTAGGCATCCTTCTAGGAAGTCACCACGAATTCTTCTGTCCACTCTGACTTGGGTATCCATCCTCTGAGCTGCCATGTCACTCTAATTGCTTATATATTTGTGCAGATCTTATTGAACTCTAAGTCGTAAGAGATTGGGAGTGTGTCTGTCATGCACCCTACTTGCATATCTGGTGACTGGCATAAGAGAATGAAACTGCCCCTCATACTGTAGATGCTCAGTGAATATTTATGGTACTAGAGACAAATACTAAAGTTGCATGCACAAAAATGCAAATGTTGCTTTTTTCAAAGTTAATAAAGTTACATTTTGTAATATTCACATTATCTGCATCTTAAAAATAACATTTTTTTGACAAATTTAGATCTTAACCTTATTGAACACAAAATACTTTTTTTTTTTTTTGAGATGGAGTCTCGCTCTGTTGCCCAGGCTGGAGTGCAGTGGCATGATCTTGGCTCACTGCAAGCTCCACCTCCTGGGTTCACGCCATTCTCCTGCCTCAGCCTCCCAAGTAGCTGGAACTACAGGCGCCCACCATGACACCCGACTAATTTTTTTGTATTTTTAGCAGAGACGGGGTTTCACCGTGTTAGCCAGGATGGTCTGGATCTCCTGACCTCGTGATCCACCCGCCTTGGCCTCCCAAAGTGCTGGGATTATAGGCTTGAGCCACTGTGCCCGGCCACAAAATACATTTTAAAAATATCTCTGGTACCCTAAATAATTCCCATTTCAATCCTGAACAGAATAGGTATTCAGCTTTTAACTAAATCATATATATATTTTTTTAAATATGTAAATCATGTCTGTCCTTATCCTGAAAGTACTTATTTCATTATGGTTTAGATAGTTTTCGCTGTTGACTTCACATCTTCATCTTTCTCAATATCCCAAAGTACTTTGAATTATTTTGCTATGTTTAAAAAAATTATTGTAAAGAGAACAAAATGGTTTTTCATTTATTGTAATTTTCATTAATTGTTTCACATAAATGTATTTTTAGGACTAGTGATTCTCTAATGGTACATTTATTTATTAAGATAAAGAAATAAGTATAGAGGGTTTTCATAAATATAACTGAGAATTAAAAAATTAACTGCAGGAAATTCTTTAGCAATTAAAAATTGGAGAATGTCTATAAAATATATGAACTCATAGGTAGGATAAGTTTTATTTTTAGTATAACAAACCCATGTTTTTGAACACTGTGATTGATGATATAAAGGATATAACTTACAAGAACAATTGAATACTTGGACCATTAGGTGGTTTCTGATGAAATCTATTATCCTTTTATATTACAGATATCATCAAATAAAATAAAATAGTGTGATTTTGGTATAACATTTCTAAAAATACAAAGGTCATCAAATGACCTCTGATCTAAACATTTATTATGACCAAAAGGAAAATAACTATATTTTCAAGATTATTTACATTAAGTATTATTAGGTAGGTGTGTATTCATATGATGGATCTCTGACTAGATTAGTTTGTATGTAAATATATTTGAATATAAGCATACACATAAATACATATGTATATATATGCACACACACATATATACACATACTCCAATGCACCAAGACAAAAAGCAAAATAAAGCAAATGTTAATTTTTTTCTAAACAATTACTGATATGGTTTAGCTCTGTGTCCCCAACTAAATTTCATGTGGAATTTTAATCTGCACATATCAGGGGAGGGACCTGGTGGGAGGTGATTGGATCATAGGGGTTGATTTCCCTTATTCTGTTCTCATGTTAGTGAGTGAGTTCTCAGAAGAGCTGATGGTTTAAAAGTTTGGCACTACCCTCCTCAATCTCTCTCTCCTGTCACCATGTGAGACATGTCTTGCTTCTCCTTCACTTTCTGCCATGATTTTAAGTTTCCTGAGGCCTCCCCATCCTTGCAGAACTGTGAATAAATTAAACCTCTTTTCTTCATAAGTTAACCAGTCTCAGGTAGTTCTTTATAGCACTGTGAAAACAAACTAATACAATTACCTACTGCTATTCTTTGCAGTTTCCTTAGATGCAACATATTGGATATTTGTTGAGTAATATTTGCATATATGTAAGCATGAAGCATTAAAAATTGGAAACGTCCCTTTTTATGGCTGCATAATGTTCTGCAGTGTATATGTACTACATTTTCTTTATACAGTCTTATATGGTTTGGCTGTGCCTCACCCAAGTCTCATATTGAATTGTAGTTCCCATAATTCCCACGTGTGGTGGGAGGGACCTGGTGGGAGGTAATTGAATCATGGGTGTGGTTTTCCCATGCTGTTCTCAAGATAGTGAGTAAGTTGTCACGAGAGGTGATGGTATTTTTAAGGGGCTTCCCCCTTTGCTTGGCTCTCATTCTGCTCCTTCCTGCCACCATGTGAAGAAAGACATGTTTGCTTCTCCTTCTGACATGATTGTAAGTTTTCTGAGACCTCCACAGCCCTGCAGAACAGTGAATCAATTAAACTTCTTTACCTTAGAAAGTACCCAGTTGTGAGTATTTATTCATAGCAGCATTAGAAGGAACTAATACACAGTCTATTATAATGGGCATTTAGGTTGATTCCATGTCTTTGCTATTGTGAATAGTGCTGCAGTGAATGTACGCATCCATGTGTCTTTATAATAGAATGATTTATATTCCTTTGGTATATACCCAGTAATGGAATTGTTAGGTCAAATAGTATTTCTGTCTTGAGGTCTTTGAGGAATCACCACACTGTTTTCCACAATGGTTGAACTGATTTACACTTCCACCAACAGTATATAAGCCTTCCTTCGCAGCCATAAAATAAAAATGAGATTATGTTCTTTGAAGGGACATGGGTGGAGCTGTAGGCCATTATCCTCAGCAAACTAATGCAGTAACAGAAAGCCAGATACCGCACTTTCCTCCTTATAAGTGGGAACTATGTGATAAGAACACACAGACACATAGAGGGGAACAACACACTCACTGGGGCCTGTTGAAGGGTGGAGGGTGGGATGAGGGAAAAGATTAGGAGAAATAGCTAATGAGTACCAAGCTTAATACCTGGGTAAGGAAATAGGCTGCACAAAATCCCCCATGACACATGTTTACCTGTGTAACAAACCTATACATGTACCCCCCAAGTTAAAAGTTAAAAAAAAAATAACACCATACTGCTTCACAGTGTAGTAGTACAGTTTCCTTATTTAAAAAAATTGGAAATGTCATTTTTGCCTTTATATATGAATTGTATGTATCTACTCATTTTTTGGAAGAAGTTTGCCTCTTTTTCCACAGCATTGTTTGTGGCAAGTGGTAGTAATGTTATATAAAATGATCAATTACATTTAATTATCTCTCTTTGTTTATATTCTCATGAAAATTGAAATATGCAATCATGGGAATTTTGTCTATATGGCATATGGTATTCAATAAAGAGAGAACAAACACCTTTTTAAATTACTCAGCCATGACTTTTGCAGCTTTGCTTTATGAATATATTTATAAATCAAAGATCCTATTTCTTAAGATGATGAATGCTAAGTGTTTATTTAAATTCTGGGCTATTTACCAACACACACCTCAAAAGTTAGACATTACACAATTATAGAAGATGACTTTCATAACTCCATAAACCAAAGAATCATATATTTATTGCTTATATACATATCACAGGGAAATGTATAACAATTTATAAAAATGAAAAATAATAATCACTTTTGGTTTATTTAAATCTTCAAAAATGCAAGTTTTAAAACTCTTTTTTGAGATTTTATGTGCTTGCTTAAGAAAATCTACAGTTAGTTTTAGTTCACACTTGCACATTAATAATGCTCTCAATGACTCCAGAACTTTTTATTGTTTCATGAACTGTTTACTTTCTTGATCAAATTAACCAGGGTTCCTCCAGTCTTGTTTACCCAATTAACTTATTTTTGCATACTATTTTAATTGACAATACAAAGACAAAACTTCATTTTAGACTGTGGCTCTCTGTAATTTCTCAAAGTCTGCCTACCACACATGGATTTTCTTATCCATAGATTATATTATATAAATTGTAACCTTACTTGGGACTTAAATGTGAGAGTGAATTATTATAACTCTGAAAATCAGACAGTAATTTCAATACTAATGCTCAGATTAGTTGTATATGTTAAAAATCAATTCAAGAAAGTATTCATTAAGCGTCTCTTATTCCTTCTTCCAAGGCAACAGTCAATGAAACAGACAAGATTATTTTTTCTTAAAGCTTAGATTCTAGTAAAATTGAAATATAATCAGTAAATGCAATGGATTAAATATTCCTGGAAATTCTCTGCCACTACTCTCATAAACAGATGAATATTATTCTCTGTCTTTTGAATCTGAGTAGGCCCTGTGTATTAGTTTGTTCTCACTCAGCTAATAAAGACATACCTTAGACTGAGTAATTTATAAAGGAAAGAGGTTTAATGGACTCACATTTGCCACATGGCTGGGGAGACCTCACTATTACAGTGGAAGACGAAGGAAGAGCAAAGGAACATCTTACATGGTGGTAGGCAAGAGTGTGTGCAGGGGAACTGTCCTTTATAAAACCATCAGACGTCATGAGACTTATTCATTATCATGAGAACAGCACAGGAAAGACCTGCCCCCATAATTCATTTATCTCCCACAAGGTTCCTCCCATGACACATGGGGATTATGGAAGCTACAATTCAAGATGAGATTTAGGTGGGGACACAGACAAACCGTATCACCCTGTGACTTGCTTTAATTAAAATAATGTGGAGAAAATGACATTGTCTAATTTCTGATACTGGGCCAATAAGATATCAGCAACTGGGGCAAAACCTCATCCAACAGGAGATGTCAAGGTAGAAGACTATGGAGATACTCTACTGGAAAGCTTCAGCTGAGCTCCCAACTGGCTGTCAACAATCGCCAGTTTTGCAAAGGAATCACCTTAATGTTTTAGCTGGTTGAGCCGCTACATGATTGTAGCTCCAGCCAAGACTACACAGAGAAGAATGACTTTCTTGTCAACACTTAGTATCATAAGAAATAATAAGTGATTGTTGCTGTGTAAAGCCATTACATTTTTGAGGTGCAAATGAAAACCAAAAGGGAAGGCATATTTAAAGTTTTTGATTATGTTTGTTAGAAGAGGAAAAGTATGTGTTAATTATAAAAATAAAGCAAGGAAAGGGAGAAAAGGAGGAAAAGGCTTACAATTTTAGCTAAAATGGGTAGGGTAAGCCTCCTCATTAAGAATGTAATATTCAAGTGAAAATTCTAAGATTCCCACTATTTTTGGAACATTTGTTTTCTAGAATTCTGATGCTCACACATTTTTATGGCTCTAGATGCTTACCACAATAGTTTTCAATTATTCGACAGACACCTGGCATCAAAATTCCTGAGTTTCTATTTTTCCTTCTCATCAAAAGTTGAAAAATAGTTAAAATAAATTACACTTAGGCCTTTAACGTATTCACAATGAAACCAAAAAGAGCCATTCAAGATAATTTTGCATTAATAGTACATTCAATTAGAAGATTATTGTTTAATTTGTGTAAATGGAGAAATCAAAAAGTACACTTACTTGGAGTTGGGACAAGCAGGTAGGTGACAACTGGGCCAGTAAGACAAGAATTAAAGTGACTGGCCATAAAGCTCATAAAGGCAATAAAGCTAATCCAATTGGTATACAATTTTTATATTGAAAATTAATAAATTAATTTTGGTCTATATATATATATATATATTTCTCAGGAATTTGGCTGATAAAAATAATTACCAGTAAATTCAGCATCCATTAATAAAAATGAATGTATAGTTCTGTAGATCTGAGGGCACACATCATAGGCCAGGAATTCCCAATCCTGCTTGACTAGTAAAGGCATCTGAGTTACCACCACCACCTGCAGCAACAACAACAATACCTTAATGCCATTCAGACCAATTAACTCAAAACTTGTGAGGATGGTTGTGAAACACAGATTTATTTTAAATCACCCTAGTTTATTGGTTAATTTTAATATGCAGTCACATTGAGAACTACTGCTATAATCAATGGTGATTCTCTCCTATTACAATGCTGATGTATGAGTTCACTAAAACAGCCAGATTCTCCAAGAAACATCTCTCTTGTCATGTTCTTAACTTACAAAATAATATCTATATGAGATTTTGCAGTGATAATGTTGCATAATTAGCAACCCTCAAATCAGGGGATTTCAGCAAGCTTATTGCTTTCTTGCTTACTAGGCTGGGAGTTATGAGGCTTTAAGGTGCCTGTGGGGTCAACTCACCTTGTCTTCAGACTACAGACCACAGTTTGTGTTCAAGACTTTACCTGTCTCATTTGTTGACCCATGCTAAAGAGTCAATGGATCCTTATGATATGGTCTTTTCATAATGGATGGCAGGGGATAAAGAGGATTTGTGGAACTCTCTAAGCCTCTTAAGACTTGTGCTCAGAAATGGTGCTGTCACTTATGCTTACATTCTAATGGACAAAGAACTCCCTATACAAACCCAATGTTTATAAGGCAGAGAAGTATACTCCATCCACAGGGAAGATACAGCTGTGACAGACAGTAGAGGATGCATCTGGAATAAACAGTACTATTGACCACACTGCTCATTTATATACTGATAACATGGTGTACTTGCAGCTTCCAGAAAAGGAAATACAGAAATCATTTTACTTTGCAAGTGGCTTTCTACATCTCTATCAAGGTTACTGATAACTCTCTTGTATTTGACACAGGTTTGACTAAAGATAACTTACTATCTAATATATACTGAATAGGAGGATATTTTAATATATTTTCTCAAATAATTGAATATATAAATATGCTTTTATTTTTGTGCTTTATATTATCACTTACATTGTAATATAAAAATATGTGTTTCATATATTTTTGAGTATGTACTAAAAATGTGGAAAATGAAAAATCCCTATAGGATAAATGTAATATTAATTCATGGCATATATGTTTATAAGTCTATATTTTGTAGTTTCTATTGAAAAAGCTAATTTTTTAAGTCATTTATACATTACTGCATTCTTGCCAAACTTTTGAACAGTTCCAAAAATCTTGCTGCCATAATTTTACTAAAGTAAAGTATAGCAGTCATATTTCTGTATTAAATATTGAAAACTAGAAAATTAGAATCAATGTCTTCAGGAAGAGTTTTATTTTTTAAAAAAATTTATCTAGATTAATCAATTTAGTTGTCTAAATAGCTGAGGTATTCATTCTCTGTTACAATGTATTATGTAGTTACTGTATTAGATTCTCTATAGACACTGTTTTAAAGAGTCACCACAATAAGAAATTATTATACCAACTTTATAGAGAATGACTCTGAGAGCTTCATAATTGGATAAGATAAAGTATGAAATTGTAAAAAGTAATTAAATTGGATGGTGTCTTTTACTATTATAAAAAATAATTATCACTCTCAGAAGAGTTGCATCAAGTTTAACTCTGTTTTATCTGTTCAGATCTACTAAAGATAACAAAAGTTTAGTTATAATTTCCAATTCACCTGATAAATTTATAATTCAAATCAACAAAGATTAAGATAATTTAAAGTAGTCAGCAAACAACTTATTAATTATATTACTAAGGATCTAAAATTAACTTGCCAGAAATCATATTAAATAAATTAATGAAAGAATTCACTTAGGTGCACAGGCGACGGGAACGTTGAAGGACAATAAAGATTTGTGTGCATAGTTAGTGGCCAGATTTCTCAATCTTTCAAGTGATTTGGCAATTACTACTAAATTAAAATATAAAACTAATTTAAGTATGTGCATATTTGATAAGAAATGTCATCACGTAGAAAGTTTATTTTTATAAAATGAATATTTGGAATGACCACAAAATTCATGTCTAAACTATTACGTGTGAGCTATAATTTATGTTTGAAAGTAAAGTAGGCTTATGACCAAAAATATATTAGGGCATAATAAGTTCATGTACATAGCTGAGATTATGGCTTTGTTTTAATGATATGTTGCATTTATATAGCACATCACACTGAATAAAGTATGTTAACACACATTATTTTAAGGGTTATTTGGTAAGGATTCAAAATAAAATGACATAGATTTTGTAGGGTCATTCAAATTTGACAAATAATGAACCTGGGCTAAGAAAGTTGACTAAATTATTCAAAATTAGACTGTAGTTAAGTGGGAATGCCATGAGTCTAAGCCAGACATTTTGATACAGGTCCAATATTCTCTACACTACATTAAAGAGACTGAATATTTATTGTCTAGCTAGTTCATCAGTTTGGTTTTTATCAAAGCATAATCCTATAGAAAATTTATCTTTTTAAAATAAATTAGAAAACAGAATTTTAAAATGTGAAAAAAACTTGCAAATATTTAATGGAAACAATTTTAATTTTAAGGTATCTTGCTCTTTTTTATTGCATCTTGCCCTAAGCCTAAGGATACCTAGCACTTAAAAATTATGATAGGACCGTAAAATATTGAAGCAGGAAGGCAAAGTGTAATGTAACCTTTTCCTTTATTTATTTCCTTTTCTCTTCTCTTTCCTTTTAATTTTTTAATTTACATTTAATTTTTTTGTCCTCTTTTCCTTTCCTTTTGCTTTTACTATTTCACATTTAGTGGTAAAAATCATTAAAAAAATAAAATCTCCTGTAGTATATCGTGTACAATTAAATGGTCTGTTATGCTGAATAGGAATGGTCAGCTAGTACAGTTGACACATTTACCTTTCTCCCTGAAGAAACCTCTGAGATGTTCTTATAAACAATAGAAAGTAAAAGTGACAACATTTTTACCAAAGAGGCTTGTGTTATACTTGTTCAGCTATATAGCTTCGTTGGGAGATATAGAAAGCAAGCAAAGGCCAGACATAGTAATTTGGCATATCATGAGTATTAGATTTGGAGGCAGAGTGGGAACCAATTATTAAGAAAAAAATGTAAAAATATAATTGCTAATAATTTGTGAAAATGTCTTAAGATTGTACCATTCAATTACATTTCAAAGATATAAATGAATGATGAGAGAATGTATATACCTTGGCTAAAATCATGTGGTAGAAAGGAGCTTGGAATAATCACCTTGGCCTCAGCTGTAAAGACAGATTTTAGTTTGATGGTTTTATAATAAAGCTTCCTTATAAAGTATAATGACAATATCAGAAATATTCTCAAGTATTTGAAAATTAAACTTTATACTTCTAAATAACACATAGACTGAAGAAAAAGTCTCAAGTGAAATTAAAAAATTAATTTGAACTAAATGAAAATAAAAATGCAACTTATCCAAATTTGTGGAACACAGCTAAAGACACTGTTAAGAGAAAGAAATGTCAGATAATTCACTTAGAGAAAATATTTGCAAACCACGCATTGGATGAAGAACTTGTACCCCAAATGTACAAAGAACTCTGAACACTCAACAATAGGAATGCAGCCTTTGACAAAACAATCTAACTATATTACCACATACAAATAACGCAGCAATGGAATTAAGCAGAGAAAGTGCAATCCTGAGTAAGTCTGGAAATGAGGAGAGACTGTATGACTGAAGGCAATAGAAACTGTACATATGCACTGTTTTATAGCTTTAAAGTAGTTATGTACATTTTTTCCTTCATTTGTAGGGACATGGATGAAATTGGAAATCATCATTCTCAGTAAACTATCGCAAGAACAAAAAACCAAACACCGCATATTTCTCACTCACGGGTGGGAATTGAACAATGAGAACACATGGACACAGGAGGTGGAACATCACACTCTGGGGACTGTTGTGGGGTCGGGGGAAGGGGGAGGGATAGCATTAGGAGTTATACCTAATGCTAAATGACGAGTTAATGGGTGCAGCACACCAGCATGGCACATGTATACATATGTAACTAACCTGCACATTGTGCACATGTACCCTAAAACTTAAAGTATAATAATAATAAAATAAAATAAAATAAAAAATAAATAAAAAAATAAAGTAGTTATCTACACAGGACAGAATTCTGATGCTACCAGACGTATTTTGTTCATTTGTTTTGGAAAACTTGACAAATAAGTCAATAGCAGAGAAACGTATGTTTCTCACTGTTGGAGTGGGGTATTATATACAAGGCAGGAATGCTAGAATGATCTGTATGGTACTGCAGTGGAGCTGGGGAGACCAGTATGAACTAATGAATTGCTTAATGCAGTTGCAGATAGATACATACAGAAATATGTATACCTCTGTGTATAAACACATCTATTTCCTTGCTCAGATAGCTAAGATATCTGAAATAATAACATCCCAGGCATATTCGAATTGGAATTCGAAACCAGGATCTGGGCACTGAAATTGTGCAGACATTGGTTTCTAATTCGAATTCGAATATGACTCTTCAATAAAAGAACTGTGTCTTCCTAAAGAAAGGGTGAATTTCAGGGAAAGGAATTTGCAATATGAGTTTGTGACATTCTGTAGTTCCAGAAAGTAAGGAAGTAATATGTTCACACACACACACATGCAAAGGTGAAGGGATATATAAACAACTGAAAGAGCTCCCAGAGGCCAAAGCTAGAACAAATTGAGACATAAAATAATAAAGCAGTATTAAATAATAACTCATATTATAAAATACTCATAAGTCCATACTGATATAAATATATTGTTGAATAAATAAATAAATGGGGCAAATAGGCCAATACCTGTGCAGAAGAATTCCAGATACCCTGTAGAAATACTCCCCATCAGGAAAGATGAAACATAACTCCTTATTCCTTACATGTATACCTCACACAGTTACTTCTTAAATGGAGTACAGTGTGAAGAGAGGGAAAAAAAGTAGCCTTAGAGTATTAAACCTGACAAACACTACCTTAGCCAGGTAGGTGATCATGGTTATCATCAACAATGGTAACATCAACAGTTGATAGTATGTACCCTTGTAATGAAGAAACAAGAATGGCAATTTATGTCTGTGGTGTTCCTCCCCAAAATACACAACTCCATTCTAATCATCAGAAAAACATCAGAAAAAATCCAATTGAGAGGAATTTGACAAAGTACCTGACCAGTATTCCTCAAAATTGTCAAGATCATCAAAAGTAATGAATGTCTGAGAAATTGTCATAGCGTAGAGAAACTTAACCACATATGATGACTAAATGTCACACAGTAACCTAGTTGAGATCCAGGAATAGGTAAAATGAATTACATGAAAACTAAGTCAATCTCAAAGTGTAGATTTAAGTTAATGATACTGGTGTATCAATAATGACTGATTTGTTCTGATAAATGTATCACACTCTGGTAAGCTGTTAAGCATAAGGGAAACTGGGTATGGAGTATATGTCAACTCATATTATCTGTGCATTATTTCCATTAATCTTAAATATGCTCTATTCCCATAAATCTAGTCTTAGATGTATATATACACACACATATACACCTATGTGTTTATATATAAATCTAAAACACATATGTGTGTGAATATATATATATGTGTTCATGTATATGTGTCTGTGTGTGTATATATACATATATAAAAGCATTAAATAGATTGACTAAATGACCTTCCCTAAATAGGTTGTATAATCATCACTTCTGTTAATTGTAGTTATGCAGTATGAATAAGTCTAGGTATGTATTGTACAGCATAAGTATAGTTAATATGTACTGTATACTGAAAATTTGCGAAGATAATAGATTTCAGGTGCTCTTACCACCAAAAAAGAGAGAAAATCTAGACAATTTTCTTAATCCATTAATTAAGAAATACATTTAATCTTATATTAATCTCATTATAGAAGCATGAATTTAATTCCAATGTAGTTTATTTAAGAGAAATATACTTAGTTATGCATAATAGTAAATTATAAGAAAACAATTTTCTTTCAGATAGATAACAACTGTGTTTTACCTGAATTGGCTAAAAAGGACTATAGGAAGACTGCTTCCATAAAAGTTAATATGGGACAGTGCAGGAAAATGGCGGACAGGAGGCAGGACTAACTTTCAGCTCTGACTCAGACGACAGTGTGTAGGCACCCACATCGTGAACTTTTGCACCAACAACCACAGGAACATACCAGAAAGCTGTGACCACACAAACCCTTTGAAGGTGGTGGATTGCCACTGCAGGCTCTGTGGGACAACAGAGGAACGGTGAGTCGGCTTGTTTTCTCAGCTGGGAGGCATGTAGCTGGGAACAATTTTTCAGCGCTGCTCAACGGCTGCCTGGAAGTGAACTTGCTGCTGTTGAGGGGGGCACAGTGGGAGTGAGACCAATCTTTTGGGCTATGGGCTGCATGGGAGCTGGATAAGGCCTACGGCTGCCAGCTTTATCTCCCTTCCCTGGTTACCCGTGTGACACAGCAGAGGCAGCCCTAATACCCCTGGGGACATAGCTCCACTGGCCTGGGAACTACACCCTTTTCTCCCACAGCAGCCTCAACAAGCCCTCCTCAAGGAGAGTCTGAGCTCAGATAAGCCTAACCCCGCCCCCACCTGATGGTTTTCTCTACCTGCCCTGGTAGCTGAAGATAAACAACATAATCTCTTGGGAGCTCTATGGCCTTGCCCACTGCCTGACCCTCCCTATACTACTGCAACTGATGTGCTCTTGAAATCGCCACCTCCTGGCTGGAGGTCAACCAACACAAAACCAGCGCAGTTAACAAAAATACATCCAAGAACCTTCGCAGAGTCCACTTCACTCCCCTGCTGTCTCCACCAGAGCAGGTGCTGGTATCCATGGCTCAGAAGAGACCTGAAGACAAATCACATCACAGGACTCTTAGAAGACACTCCCCAATACCAGCCAGGAGTCCAGTAGCTCTGCAGGGTGTCTAGATTCAGAAGAGAAACAGCAGCCACTGTAGTTCACCCCTCAGGAAGCTCCATTTGCTAGGGGAAAGAGGAGAGCGTTACATCAAGGGAGCACCCTGTGGGACAAAACAATCTAAACTGCAGCCTTTGAGTCCCGGATCTTCCCTAACATAGTCTATCCAAATGAGAAGGAACTAGAAAATCAATTCTGCTAATATGACAAAACAAGGGTCCTTATCACCCCTAAAAGATCACACTAACTCACCAGCAGTGGATTAAAACCAAGACAGAATCCCTGAATTGCCAGAAAAAGAATTCAGAAGGTCAACTATTAAGCCAATCAAGGAGGCACCAGAGAAAGATGAAGTCCAACTTAAATAAATTTAAAAAAAAAGAAACATGATATGAATGAAAAAATCCCCAGTGAAATGTATAGCATAAATAAAAAACAATCACAACTTATGGAAATGAAAGACACACTTAGAGAATTGCAAAATGCACTGGAAAGTCTCAGCAATAGAATCAAACAAGTAGAAGAAAGAAATTCAGAGCTCGAAGACAAGGCTTTCAAATAAACCCAATCCAACAAAGACAAAGAAAAAAGAACTAAAAAAATAAAGCCTCCAAAAAGTTTGGGATTATGTTAAGCAACCAGATCTAAGAATAATTGGTGTTCCTAAGGAAAAAGAGAAATCTAAAAGCGTGGAAAGTGTATTTGAGGGAATAATCCAGGAAAATTTCCCTGGCCTTGCTATAGATCTAGACATCCAAACACAAAAAGCTCAAAGAACACCTGGGAAATTCATCACAAAAAGATGATCACCTAGGCACATAGTCATCACGTTACCTAAAGTCAAGATGAAGGAAACAAGAGCTGTGAGGCAAAAGTGTCAGGTAACCTATAAAGAAAAACCCATCAGATTAATAGCAGATTTCTTAGCAGAAACCCTGCAAGCTAAAAGGGATCGGGGTCCTGTCTTTAGTAAACAGTGTGACCATTGACCAAATTGGAGCATAAAATTATTTATGTTCTAATAGTTACTATAAATATCCTGTGCCTCAGTTTCCAAAAATTAAAACACTGAGAAAAAATGTCATTTATTTTTATTTCTGAAAAATTGTCTTAGCTAATACATATAAAATCCTTGCAGTTAACAATCTACATCACTTTCCCATTAATGACCAATTGATAAGAGGATATTGATACCATATGAACTTGGGTATGCACACATACGCATACACATCCTATATTGTTAGTCTGAATTCTGTTCTCACAAAATATAACATTAAAAATGACTCAGTACCAAATAACTCTTAGACCTCAAAAGGTCCTCCCAAGCAGAACCCAAGGTGTGATGATAATTAGAGGCCCTTGGTGAGGAGGAAAAAAGTAGATCCTTAGTAAAGAGACTGGAACAGTGAAGGAAAGACAGACTACTCTTGAATCAGTGCCCTGTTTCAAAAGTACATCACTGATTGGATGAACAGAGAGAGATCATGCTCACAGAATTTGTGGATAACTAAGACTCAGAAAACTGGGTAACACTAATAATAAATGAGGTTACTGAGGTTCAATGAGATTAACAGTTTTGCCCAAATTCTTACTTTTAATCTGTTGTAGAGAAGAAATTAAAATTCAGGTTACTGGATTTCTAGTTCATTATCTATTCCATCACATCATACTCTGGGTGTTCATTATTGTACATGGGATAAAATATTTCAATAAATGACATTTAAAGTCCATTCCAACTTTAAGACTTTTATAATAGTATTTGACTTAATTGTGTTTTAATCCTGTCATTATCAAAAGATTGATTGCATGTGGTATAAAATATAGTATAAAACTAAATAAGTTTTTTTATAATTCCATAGTTTATATATATGATTAGTATATTAATAAAATATCTGGTAAAATTACATATGCTTCTTTTGTATTGCCATAAGAAAAGTCTAGCCAGAAAAAAAAAAAAAAAAACGGTACACAAGTCAGGCCCAGCTGCCAGAAAGCATAATATATTGACTTAAATGATAAACATCATAATATCAATAAGAGAGTTATAAGAGATAGGCATTGTGACATCCTGTGACATCTGGTAAACAACCATAGTCACATAGCTCTGTTTGAAATTTGAAGCAACTTTAACTGATAATATTTATTTGCAATGGTAGAAAATTATCAGAATGCAATCTGGCACAATTACTGGCAGGAGATAATCTAAGAATCGAAACTTTAGCATTTCATTTAATGTGAAAATACAGTGTTAGAAGTTGTATTGATATTTTAATCTTGTGTCATACTAGAAATATTGCTAAATCTCTGTGATTCCTCTTTGCCATTTGCCTCACAGCAGAGGAAAAATTGCAGTTGATCTATTAATAACTGAATAGACTTAGAAATACATTGTACTATCCCATTTAATGAGAAATGCTGAAATGACTTTAAAAGTGCTGTTGATTATATTTTCTGATATATTACCATAGCAATGGCTTAGTTAAATGAAAAGTTAGATTGTGTTCATATTTTCACATTGAAAAGTTATTAGTCATGAAATCAGCAAAAAACCGTTTAAACTATATTTTGATATTTAGAAAAAAATATACAAACTAGTTAAAGTTATGTAAGCTTGTTGTCTACTATGAAAAACATTTTGTACATACTTTTTATAGGTCAATGGCTATACCTAGGTGGCTGTAGCTTACACACTCAAACAGCCACAAAAACCTAACCTAAACAGCAGTAAGAAAACAAAAGAAAAAAAAAACATTTCAAATCTTTACAAACAACTGATAGGGGGATAAAAGGGAATGCATATTGTTATGAACTGAATTGTTTCTCCCTCCAATTTCATAGCTTGAAGCCTTATCCTCCAACATGACTATATTTGTAGATAGAGCCATTAAGGAGGTAATTAGGTTAAATGAGGTCCTGAGATTGAAGCCCTAATCCAATAATACCAAAGTCTTTATAAGAGAGGAAGAGGAACCAGAGCTTGCTCTTTCTCTTTGTCTCTCTCTAGCTCGCTCTTTCTCTCTCTCTCTCTCTCTCTCTCTCTCCCTCCCTTCACGTGTGTGCCAAAGGAAAGGCCACGTGAGAACACAACGAGAAGGGGTCATCAGCAAGCCAGAAAGGGAAGTTTCACCAGAAACTACATTTTCCAGCGGCTTGGTATTGGACTTCTAACCCCCAGAACTTAGAACAAATGAGTTTCTGCTGTTTAAGTCACCCAGTCTATGATATTCAGTTATGGTGGTCCAAAAAGATTAATACATATACTTACGAGAAGAAATCTCTTCTAAGTGCTAATATTACTTATGCAACAAATAAAAATAATCTATAAAAATGCATGATAATCAAACAAAAATTTGATATACATCCATAACATCATGATGTACAACTTGATTACATTATGCAGATATGCTATAATCTCAGATAAATGTATTAGAAAACACTGTAAAAATTAATGAAGAAAGTAGTATATGTTCAGGGAAAAAAAGTAGAAAATTTGTATCTATTGATCTCTACAATTTAGCTTAATGAATTCATAAGTCATGTAGTAATGTAAATTATATCTATATATGTTTTCAAAAATATCAGTTGTAAACTATATCATTATATAAAATGTTGGTTCTTATGGGAATGTAATATAACTTTTTAATGACTGAAAAACAGTTACATTTCAGAGGTCATCTGGGACAATTATGTTTATATAACAATTTTATAATTTTTTTAGTTTTAATAGCTTCAAACTTTGCCCCAATTGCATGTTTTAAGCCTTATCAAATATGTGGGGGAAAAAAAGATTTGCCACAGCCTCACTATTTTCTAGCTATGTATTATCAAATACATTTTGAAATCTTACAAAAAATGATTATGTTTATAAAGCAAAATCTAATTGAGACAATACAAATTTCTGTTATAAATTGCTAGTAATTATTATAGAAAGATTAGAAAGCCAGATAATTCTGATTTCAAATTTACCTCTAAAATTAGAAAAGTTAAATCCAGAAATGTCAACATATCAATATTTGTATATCCATCTGTCTATCTATCCATCATATTTGAAATTGTCTAGTGTCAGAATATCCTAAAGCATAAGGTTGCACATAAAATTGTGCATCATATTGTCATTAAACTCATATGGTCATTTGTTATGTTTTGTATTTGTTTCTATTGGTCCAGTTCCTGGTCATATAAAAAAAAATTTCATGACAGTCAGTTTTTCAGATTCTGTTATTAATTTATTTTAATTTATTTAATAAATAAATTAATTCCATGTGCCAGGAAGAGAAATTTGGAGGACAAATAGAGAACAATATGGATAGGCTCTTATATCTCATGAAGTTTTCTCCTTAATGAGACAGATTATTTCTGTCAGAAATAATCTCCTTAATGAGACAGATTAATGCCACTAATCAAATAATCACATTAATCAAATAATTACACAGATAAATGTATAATTTAAAATTGAAATAAGTGTTATGAAGAAAAACTACAGCTACTAAAGCCTAGCTTTATGAAGTAAAAATGTGTAGCCAATTTACTTTCCTGAAAAATTATAACTTGTTACATTTTTATTCATTTTAAATGCAATTTGTTTTAATGATATATATAGTTTTACTCTTCACTAACTTTACTGTTTAAAACAATACTTAGGGACAATTTTTATTTTGGAAATTACTCCTTAATGATATTATCAGCCGGAAAGTGTTAATGTAATTTCCAGTTGTGCCCAAGTTACCATGGAAGGGGATAGTTACAGATAATCTCTAGTAAATATCTTTTCCTTTTCCTTTTTTTTTTTTTTTTTTTTGAGGTAGAGTCTTGCTCTGTTGCCTAGGCTGGAGTGCATTGCCGCGATCTCGGCTCCCTGAAACCTCCATCTCCTGAGTTCAAGGGATTCTTCTGCCTCAGCTTCCTGAGTAGCTGGGATTACAGGTGCCTACCATCACGCTAGGCTAATTTTCATATTCTTAGTAGAGATGGGGTTTCACCATGTTGGCCAGGCTGGTCTTGAACTCTTGACGTCAGGCGATCTGCCCACTTCAACTCCCAAAGAGCTGGGATTACAGGTGTAAGCCACCGCGCCCGGCCATAAATATCTTTAAATAAAAAAGTTACACACATGTGGCTTCATTTGCTTTTGTTAAAAGAATATTTAAATTCACCAAAAAATATGATCTGTAATTAATACCACGGCTAATGATAAACCAGTTACACACTAAGTAAAGTATAAATTGTACTAGATAATCATTTGTAAGCAGGAATCGAAGGTGATCTTTGTAATTTATTTTTAAAAACCCTATATATAAATTCAAAAATATAACTATCTTTTAGACAAATAAGTCTAAGTAATATTTTTTACTGAATAATCCATATAATTTAAATAAAAGTAAATGTGTTATTATACCCAGTTTTAATATTAAGAATAGTCTACAGATCTAGTTAAAATAAAACAATAATAGTCCTTGAAATCTTAATGAAAATTTAATTTTTTTTAAAGATTTGATAAATATACTCACTATTAGGTAAGTTTTTCTCATTAATGGGAATCTGAGTTAACTACATCTGCTCTTTTTAAACCAGTTTTCAGACTAGAAATAAAAAAAGACATTTGCCTCCTAGGTACTTACCAATTTCATTAGAAATGATGGATTTTTTTGTGGTATAGAGATTCTTAGGTGATAAAAATACTGATTGCTTCTCCTTTCTAATATAGCAATAGTTCATGTCTTGGAACTACTTCTATTGTCAAAGTGAATAATATTTTAATATGTTTAGGTATGGCTTTATTCTTCCTTATAGAAAAATTGAATGACTTTTGACATTAAGAGAGTTTGCTATCAGTCACTGGAGTATTATTGTTGCCAAATCTATTTGATAATGTATTTGAGCTTCAGGTGAGATTCTGGAAAAAGAAAACCAGAGGCTAAAATGTGCCCATTATAGCTCTCTCTCTCTCTTTGGGTGTTTGTGTAAGCCAAGAATCATACATTTTAGCAAAGCAGGAGAGCTTCTCGGAAAATGGGTCTTATCAGAAACTAGATTCGAAATTAGATTGTTTTTGCAGAGCTGTTTCTTAAGCATTTATGTTTGAGCTCTAGAAAGTATTTCAATGTAATATTCAAGCTTTTGATTTCTAAGCCTTGATGAACGCTAAGTAGCATCAGAATTGTCAGATAAATTTTTACCAAACCACAAATACAGTTCTAAGTATAATTGTGTGCGTTAAGAGATTAAAATATATTGTAGTGCTGTGCCAATATTTATAGAGTTCATTTCTGTCCAAGCAAGCATTTGTTAATGATCTGGAGTACTTACTGTGTACTGTGTCCTGCATGTTGATAGATTTATTACAGACAATTTAAATAGGAGAAATGCCCTCCTGCCTCCCCCCCACAACCTGCCTGGCCATCCCTGTCTCAGGGAGCAGGTCACAGGTCACCACGGGTAATTCTAGCCTCCACTGGGGAAATGTTCCAACACCATGCTGGTTATTTTGGTAGCTGTAGTTGTAGGGTGTGTGTGTGCATGTGTGTGTGTGTGTGTGTAAGAGTGTGTGTGTGCGTGTGTGTGTGCTGTGACCACCCAGTCTTCATGGTATGTCCCACCCTGTCCCCAGATCTCCTATTACCTCCACAATAACAGAAACACTCCCAGGGATTCTGGGCAGAGGGTGAGAACAAATAACTGCTGTCACCCCAGAGGACAATTTTTAGTAATAAAATTGAGTGTCAAGTATTTTTTAAAAATTATAATAAATTTAATATAGAAAATTTTAATATTTATAGAGCTCATGTCTGTCCAAGAATGCATTTGTTAAAGATCTGGAGTATTTGCTATGAACAATGTCCTGAACATTGATAGATTTATTATAGAAAATTTTTGAAACACAGGGTCCTTTGGATCATTGGTTATATTATAACAGGCAACATGAAAATAAACACATAGGTAAATATTTACGATACTCCTAAACTCTAAATGATTCCATCAAATTTCCTGTTCTAGGAAAAATAATCACCAAGACAAAAACAATGAAGAGACAAAGACTACTAATTTTCATGCATAATCTGATGTTAGACAGAAAAGAAAAGCTATGAGACTAGGCAATTTCAGAGCACCAAGACAGCTTGTCAGCTGCTTTTATAGTAGAGCACCTCATACAAAATCAACCCAGTGAGAAGAAAATTGGCATTGCTGCCAAGCAAGCATAAGTAAATAAACACTCTCAAACAGTTACATGATAACAAATAAGATGTCTGAGTGTATAAAAAATTAAAACAATTTGAATAAAAATGTACAAAACATGAGAATTAGTAAAATCAGTAGTTTGAAAATATGCAGTGGAAAACGACCTTTCCTAGAATATTAATAAAGACTGTATAACTTATTATTACATTTTATAGTTTTCAAAAATGTTAAAAACATATACATGGCAGATAACAAAACTGGGAAAGACCTAAATAAATATTAAGTGTAACAGTGCTTTTATAAAAATATTCTATCACTAACAAAACTATTGGTCAAATCTGTTGTCAATGTAAAATTAAGAAGACAAATATAACCCAGTAAATAAAACTTCTATTTGAGTAGTTATGTTGGCATTTTTAATATGAAACACTGTTTCCTCCATAAAGAAAATAAGTTACGTAATCCAGGTTCACAGCTGGGGTGAAGTTTAACATTGTAAAAATAGTAAAAATAGACATCTTTAAAGAATGCCTGCATATGAAGAATTTCTTAAATTGTGATCTCTGTTAACAAACTCTGAGACAGAAATTTGCATATTAGAGTTTTGCTGGGAAGTGCCCTTAGGAGTAATACCTGTAAGAGAGTGGAAAAAAAAGAAGTATATACCCAGAGAGAGACGTTTAAACATAATACAATTGCAATAAAGGAGCTCCGGATTTAGAGTGGCCCTTCAGACTTGTCCCAAATTACAACAAAGAAGCTGGGATATGTAACTTCTCATTGGTCAGTTATTAGACACAGGAGGCAGCTACATTCGGATGAAGGTGTGTCTCAGAGACAGGTGCCTCTATGAGCAATCAGCAGTCAACACCAGGAAGTGCCTATTGAAAAGGCAGATATACATGCTGCCCTACAATATCCATTACTGTCAACCACTTGTGCCACTCACATTCACTTGCTTTTTAGTATAAGTTCAACCCATGTAGAATATGCTTCTCCAGGACTTGTCCAAGAAAAATTGCACCAAACACTTTTTAAAAATGGCAAGGAAGACTACCCAAAACGATTGCAAGGGGAGTTAAGGCTATTGCCACAGGGGAGAGAAATTCAACTCAACTGAAAGAAAAGAAAAGATTTTCAAATGCTGGTGTGAGCTAGTGCAAAAATATTAGAGGATCTAAGGGGGAAGACTAGTCAATGTGATTAGGCTATCTGTATATATTAATTGTCTTTTATCAAAGTTAGGCTCCTACCTACTCATAGAAACTGAGAGACAGAGGTCTTATCTTTCTTGATGATTACATTTCAAAGAGATGGATCCCAGATTTTTGAGAAAGAACTTCCTGGGTGGTAAAAATGGCAAGAAGCTGAGAAAATATTTACACTCACAGGGGCAGAGAAATAATTTGCAATTTTAAGTTTTTTAAAGTAAATACTGTAAAAAAGGAGGCCAGGGGCCTGTAGTCAAGAAGAAGCCTGTCTAAATTTCAGTCAAGCTGAAGGGAAGATTCAGGCCATACTGGTCAGACTGTAGTTAGCAGATTGGTTTAGAAAAAAACTCCAAGTATAAGGTTAGTGTCCCAAAACATCAATCCTGTACACAATGCACATACTGGCCACTTTTTATCAAGATTAGGTAGGGAGTAATAAAAGATATCCCCAAGTAGACTACCTGAGGCCAAACATTTTATTTCCTGCATTCTTTGCAAAAACCCAGCATTGTCTCCTCGTGATCATGAGTGCCAATTAGCTCTGTCGGGATGGTGAGTCTTTTTTTTTTTTTGCCTAGTGTTCTCTTGATATGAGGAACTCAAAGTAATTTGGTGGCAGGTAGAGCTTAAAGTTGAGATTTTTATCCCATGTTGGAAGAGCTTCTCCCAGAAGAACCTGGATCTATCCACACAGAGTCTAAATTTCTCTTATTTTTTTATTATTATACTTTAAGTTTTAGGGTACATGTGCACAACGTGCAGGTTAGTTACATATGTATACATGTGCCATGTTGGTGTGCTGCACCCAGTAACTCGTCATTTAACATTAAGTATATCTCCAAATGCTATCCTTCCCCCTCCTCCCACCCAACAACAGGTCCCAGTGTGTGATGTTCCCCTTCCTGTGTCCATGTGTTCTCATAGTTTAATTCCCACCTATGAGTGAGAACATGCAGTGTTTGGTTTTTTTGTCCTTGCGATAGTTTCCTGAGAATGATGGTTTCCAGCTTCATCCATGTCCCTAAAAAGGACATGAACGCATCATTATTTATGGCTGCATAGTTTTCCATGGTGTATATGTGCCACATTTTCTTAATCCAGTCTATCATTGTTGGACATTTGGCTTGGTTCCAAGTCTTTGCTATTGTGAATAGTGCCACAATAAACATACGTGTGCATGTGTCTTTATAGCAGCATGATTTATCATCCTTTGGGTATATACCCAGTAATGGGATGGCTGGGTCAAATGGTATTCCTATCCCTGAGGAATTGCCACACTGACTTCCACAATGGTTGAACTAGTTTACAGTCCCACCAACAGTGTAGAAGTGTTCCTATTTCTCCACATCCTCTCCAGCACCTGTTGTTTCCTGACTTTTTAATGATTGCCATTCTAACTGGTGTGAGATGGTATCTCATTGTGGTTTTGATTTGCATTTCTCTGATAGCCAGTGATGATGAGCATTTTTTCATGTGTCTTTTGGCTGCATAAATATCTTCTTTTGAGAAGTGTCCGTTCATATCCTTCGCCCACTTTTTGATGGGGTTGTTTTATTCTTGTAAATTTGTTGGAGTTCATTGTAGATTCTGGATATTAGCCCTTTGTCAGATGAGTAGATTGCAAAAATTTTCTCTCATTCTGTAGGTTGCCTGTTCACTCTGATGGTAGTTTCTTTTGCTGTGCAGAAGCTCTTTAGTTTAATTAGATCCCATTTGTCAATTTTGGCTTTTGTTGCCATTGCTTTTGGTGTGTTAGACATGAAGTCCTTGCCCATGCCTATGTCCTGAATGGTATTGCCTAGGTTTTCTTCTAGGGTTTTTATGGTTTTAGGTCTAATGTTTAAGTCTTTAATCCATCTTGAATTAATTTTTGTATTAAATGTAAGGAAGGGATGCAGTTTCAGCTTTCTCCATATGGCTAGCCAGTTTTCCCAGCACCATTTATTAAATAGGGAATCCTTTCCCCATTTCTTGTTTTTGTCAGGTTTGTCAAAGATCAGATGGTTGTAGATATGAGGCATTATTTCTGAGGGCTCTGTTCTGTTCCATTGGTCTATATCTCTGTTTTGGTACCAGTACCATGCTGTTTTGTTTACTGCAGCCTTGTAGTATAGTTTGAAGTCAGGTAGTGTGATGCCTCTAGCTTTGTTCTTTTGGCTTAAGATTGACTTGGCAATGTGGGCTCTTTTTTGGTTCCATATGAACTTTAAAGTAGTTTTTTCCAATTCTGTGAAGAAAGTCATTGGTAGCTTGATGGGGATGGCATTGAATCTATAAATTACCTTGGGCAGTATGGCCATTTTCACGATATTGATTCTTCCTACCCATGAGCATGGAATGTTCTTCCATTTGTTTGTATCCTCTTTTATTTCATTGAGCAGTGATCTGTAGTTCTCCTTGAAGAGGTCCTTCACGTCCTTTGTAAGTTGGATTCCCAGGTATTTTATTCTCTTTGAAGCAATTGTGAATGGGAGTTCACTCATGATTTGGCTCTCTGTTTGTCTGTTCTTGGTGTATAAGAGTCTAAATTTCTTAAGAAATAAAGCATAAATGTATTATGCTTATTATAGGAAGGTGGGAAAGATTGATAAGAAGAGCCATTCCTATGATATGCTTGGTTTCTGAACCAATGTATTCTTTTTTTTTTTTTTTTCCTTAAGACAGAGTCTCACTCTGTCACCCAGGCTAGAGTGCAGTGGCACAATCTCTGCTGACAGCAACCTCTGGCCTCCCATACTTAACCAATGTATTTTGTATATTGGGTACATAGTACCACATAATGATTATTAATTTAAAGTATATATGCATCTTGTGAACTTATACAACATTCTTGCAGACTAGAATTCAGGAAGATACAACATTGTTAAGTATTCAAAAAGTGATTTGCGGCTATGTGCAGTGACTCATGCCTGTAACCCCAGCACTTGGGGAAGCTAAGGTGGGAGGATCACTTGAGCCCAGGAGTTCTAGTCTAGCCTGGACAACATAGTGAGACTTCATCTCTACAAAAAATTAGTCAGGCATGGTAGTACATGACTGTGGTTCTAGCTACTTGGAAGGCTGAGGTGGGAGGACTGCTTGAGCTTGGGAGGTTGAGGCTGCAGTGAACTGTGATTGTGCCACTGCATTTCAGCCTAGGTGACAGAGTGAAACCGTGACTCAAAAAATTTTAAAAAAGCTTTTTTATAACTTTATTAGGCTGGTAATACATTGTACTCTAAATGATAGGTTTGGTAGATCCTACAGCCATGTTTTCACTGCTATAGCTCCTTCTGTGTAGAGTGAGTATCTTGTTCCAAGATAATTTTATGTGTGATTCTACATTGGTGGATCATGCCTCTGTAAGTATTCAGATAGATGTTCTGATCAAGACTCTAAGGACAGGAAATGAAAACCTATATATGGAACATGTGCAGATATTAAACAACATTAATCTTTATCCCTTTCAGAATAAGAAGTCATTCATGTATTTAAATTGTCAATTAGTTAATAGTTTGTCTCTTTGAGGAATAAATGTGTATTGGAGTCAACACTGATCTCTTTTTCTGAAAATGTGGAAATTCAGCAATAGCAGAAAGCTAGGTTAGCCTTTGTGACTGAGACCATGTCATTGTACCCATCTCTTGCTTCTATCCCTGCCATTATTGCTACTCTGTTCTTGTAACCGCTGTGCAAATAATAGAGTGACCAATAACAATTGTGGATGGAATCACCTGGCCACATATTTCTGTCTACATGGTTATTTTGGGGGTTACCCATAATAGATGTTCACCTATGGGCATTAAAGTGCAATACAAAGTTCATCACATTTACATCTCCTCCTGTAAACACATCCTCCTGAGATATCAGTATCTCAGAACTGAATCTTTTAATCACTTTTGTATTTTTTATTTCAGGCTCCAGACCAAACAGCCAAATCATTTTTCTACTGCATATATAAGCCTGTGTATATATTTCTCGGTAGATTAGAGGCTTTATTACTGCATCTCATCCACTTGGAAAGAGAAAAATAGAGTGTAGCAATTGATAATGTGAACTTTCATCCAAGAGGGAACCTCGGAGTTCAATATAAAAGTGAAAGAAACTTCAGATGTTTGAAAAATAAGGTGGGCAGCATCCAGTGTGGCAGGTTCAGTGGAAAACTTGGAGTTTAAGAGGAAAAGAGTGTGTCTGCATGATACATATTTGCACAGGGAACCAGACAATCCAGGCCATGGTGGAAAACCTTGACTGTACCAAGCCCTGGCTCTGACTTGGAGAACACTTGGAAGACTGTGAAAACGAATGGCAGCAGGAAGTGGTTGGTGCACACTCCCAGACCCCAGCACCAATAAAAACCCCTTCCTTATCCTAACTCACAGTGAGGCACAGGGTAACCTGCCAGCCAGCATAGGAGACAGTCACTGGTTTAGAGAGTCATGAGATTAGGATTTGTGATATAGTCTCAAGTAGGCAAGAAGCTCCCACAGCCAAACTGAGAGGCAAGTATGACATGGAGGCCAGTCATGGGCATCAGAGTTGGATGCAACCCCCTGCCTTTTCAGGACTAAATCAGGAGGGATTTGGCACTAAAGCCATGGTTCCAACACAGCAGCAAATTTTATAGCCTGGAGTGGTGTAGTAGTTTGAAGACAAACTGTTTGTGACCAGCTGGCTGTCCCAATTTTCTGCCACAGAAGAGAGCACTGGTGGATCAAGTGCATGAGAGTAATACAGGTCCCACTATGACCTGCTAGGCTGTGGAGTGCATGTTTCCCCTCTTTCTCTGTGCTATCTCTTTGGCACAGCAATGGTTGCTTTACTCGTCCATGGAGCATTGCTCCATGGGTCTGAGAACTGCCTTCTAGCTCCTATCAATGCTGGCACTTGCACCTGACACTGGGGGCTCAAGTACAGGCTTGTCCATTCTAGCTCTGCCTGGCTTTGCTCCCTCTCCTACCCTGGAGGCAGAACACAAGACTGGGACCACAGAGAGTTTCAATGCCAAGCCTGTCACCTGGAACACCCAAGTACTTCTACTGGTTAAAAAGAAGTAATTCAAGCATAAGCCCTACTGCCACCACCACAGCTGGCTCTCATTTGCAAGTGCTAATTACTGGCCTGGAGATTGACTTGCATAGACCATTTGCTGATCTTATACAGCACTCAGGAGGGATACAAACTTTATGAGACCTCTGCTACCACCATTGCCCAAATCACCTTGGCTACCTAGAAGGCCTTGAACATGGTACTTGCCTGGTATATACATTGCCATTACAAGTGGCATTTGAGAAAGCCACCTTACTAAGGCTGTTTATAACCAAAGAAATCAAACAGAGTCTATGCCACTGAACACACCTAGAAGCAAAGCCAAATGACCCTATTCAACATACATTATAGACACATTTTCAGGGAAAAATAAAAGTTCTACCCCAACAAAAGTAAATTTAAACATAAGAAAAAGCAACTGTTAACTCCAGATGTAAGGAAATCAGTGCAATAATACTGGAAGTAAGAAAAATGAGGTACTATGACACTCCCAGAGGAACACAGTAATTCTTAGCAATCAAGCCAAATAAAGGAAATCATCAAAATGTAGAAAAAAATTTAAAATACTAATTTTTAAGAAGCTCAATAAGATAGACAATCTGAAAATGAATACAAATAAAGCAGAAAATTTATTTGAGATATGAATGAGAAATTCACCAGAGATAATCTTAAAAAAAACAGAAAGTTTGGAAATTAAATACATATTGACAAGATGACAAAATACACTTGAAAACTTCAAAAACAGACTAGACTAAGCAGAAGTTAAAATCTCAGAAGTTGAACATGGGAAAAACATACCAAAATCAGCAATAGAAAAGCTTTAATTCACCTGTAAGGTAAACTCTATAAAACTAACAGTGCACTTCTCACAAAATAAACTTTAATAGCCAGAAGAGATTGGGATTCTATTTTCAAAAGACCTAAAGAAATAAAATGAAATCCATGAACTTTGTATCAGGCTGCAATAAGCTCCATAAATGAAGGAGAAATGAAGTTGTTTTTTTTTATTTTTCAGGGAACCAAATGCTGAGAAAATTCATCACCACTAGACCAGCCCTACAAGAAATGCTCTGAATAGTCCTAAACATGAATATGAAAGGTTGATACTTGTCATAATAAAAAAAAAGTATAAAACTTACAGATAATACAAAACAATTACTCAGAGGAAGGGAAAAAAACCAAATGGCAACATGATAGAATTCCACTAATCCACAAAGACAGAGAAAAAACAAATGAAAATAAAGAATATACAAAGCAGAGAGCTAATAATAGAATAACAGAAACAAAACCTCATATGTCAATATTAAACTTGAAAATAAATGTATTAAATGCTCCACTTAAAATGTATAGATTAGCAAAATAGATTTTTTTAAAATGAATAAACTTTATGCTACTTAAAAGAAATTCACCTTGCTAGTAAAGACACATATTGGAGATGAAGGGGTGGAAAACGATATTCCACATAAACTGAAACTAAAAGCAGGCAGAAGTAGCTATATTTGTATCATACAAAACAGAATTTAAATCAGAAGCAGCAATAAAAGACAAAGAAGACCATAATATAATGAAAATGGATAAATTCAACAAGAAAATATAATAATTCTAAAATATGCGCACCCAACACTGGAACACTCATACTCATAAAACAAACATTGCTAGACCTAAAGCAAGGATAGATAGCAACACAATAATAGTGGGGGATTTCAACCCCAGACATCATAGACACAGAAAATCAACAAAAGAAACTGAAACTAAATTGGACTTTGAACCAAATGGACTTAACAGATATTCAACAGCTGCAGAAAACACATTCTCCTCATCAGCCCGTGGAACATACTTCAAGATAAACCATATGTTAGACCAAAAAATAAGTATCCATAAATTTTAAAAAATCAAAATTATTCCAAATATTTTTTTCAGATCCCAAGGAAATAAAACATAATTAATTCCAAGAGGAACTGTCGAAACTATACAAATAAGTGGAAATGAAACAACATGCTCTTACTCCTGAACAATCTGTGGGTCAAAGGCAAAATTAAGACATCAATTTTAAAAATATTTTAAACAAATGAAAATGGAATTACAGCATACCAAAACTTCTGGGTTATAGCAAAATTAGTGCTAAGAGGAAACTGTTTTAAATTTGTATTTTCCTCTTCTGGGAAAACTTTATTGGTATTTTGGTAAGAATTGCATTGAATCTGTAGATTGTTTTTCAGTAGTATGATCATCTTAATAATATTGATTCTTCCATTCCCTGGGCATGGGATATTTCTTCATATGTTTGTATCATCTGTAATTTCTTTCATCAGGATTTTGTAGTTTTCCTTGTAAAGATCTTTTTCCTCCTTAATAATGTCTGTATCAAAAGAATAGATCACAAATTAAAACCTATTGAAACTCAAACAACTATAAAAACAAGAACAAACTAAATCCAAAGTTAGCAGAAGAAAATAAGTAACAAAGAGCCAAACTAAATAAAATTGGAAAGGAAAGAATAATACAAAGGATCAGTGTAATTAAAAGTTAGTTCTTTGAAAGGATAAATAAAATTGATAGACCACTAGCTAGACAAACCAAGGAAACAAGAGAGACTATCCAAATAAACATAATCAGAAATAAAAAGGAGACATTACAACTGATACAATAGAAATACAAAAAAAATCAGAAACTAGGAACAATATAACCACAAACTAGAAAACGTATGGGAAGTAAATAAATTCCTGGAAACACACAATCTTCTAAGATTGAACCAGGAAGAAATAAAAATTCCGAACAGGTGAATAATAAGTAATGAAATTGAATCAGTCATCAAAGGTCTCAAAACAACAACAAAAGCCCAGGGCTAGATGAATTCACAGCTGAATTTCAACCAGTTTACAAAGAATTGGTTCCAAGTCTCCTCAAACGGTTCCCAAAAATCAAAAAGGAGAGAATCTTCCCTAACTCATTCTACAATGCCAGCATCAACCTAAGACCACAGCCAGACAATGACATGACAGAAAAAAACAAAACTGTAGATCATTATCCCTGGTAAACATCTATGCAAAAATTATAAACAAAATACTAACAAACCAAATCCAACAACACATCAAAGAGATAATACATGATAATCAAGTGGATTTTGTTAAAAGGATGCTATGATGGTTTAACATACATAAATCAATAAATTTGATTTGCTACCTACACACAACTAAAAACAAAAACATATGATCATATCAATAGATGCAGAAAAAGCATCTGATAAAAATTCAGCATAGCTTCAGATAAAAACCATCAATAGGCTGGGTATGCTGGCTCACACCTGTAGTCCTGTTATTTTTGAAGACCTAAGTGGGTGAATTGCTTTAGCCCAAGAGTTTGAGACCAGCCTGGACAACATGGCAAAACCTTGTCTTCACAAAACATACAAAACTTATCTGGGTGTGGTGGTGTGCACCTATAATCCCAACTACTCATAAGGCTGAAGTGAGAGGATTACTTGAACCCAGGAGGTTGAGGCTCAAGTGAGCTGTGATTGCATCACTGCACTCCAGCCTGGATGGTAGAGCAAGACCCTGTTAAAAAAAAAAAGAAAAAGAAAAAAGAACAACAACGAAAACAAAAAACAAACAAAACAAAACAAAAAAACCTCATCAATAAACAAGGCATTGAAGGAACATATGCCAAAATCATAAAATCCATATATGACAAACCCACAGCCAACATCTTACTGAATAGAGAAAAGCTGAACACATTTCCTCTAACAACTGAAACATGAAAAAATGCCACTTTCACCACTCTTATTCAAATAGTACTGGAATTCCTAGTCAGAGCAATGAGGCAAAAGAGACAAATAAAAGGCACCCAAACTGTAAAAGAGGAAATCAAATTATTTCTGTTTGCTTCTGATATGACCTTAAATCTAAGAAACCCTAAAGACTCCTCCAGATTCTCCAAGCACAGCACTTGAGCTCTGCTAAGCGACAGTCTGACTCCTCAAGTGGGTCCCTGACCCCTGAGCCTCCTGACTGGGAGAGAGCTCCCAGCAGGGGTTGAGAGACACCTCATACAGGAGAACTCCGGCTGGCATCAGGTCAGCATCCCTCTGGGATGAAGTTTCCAGAGGAAGGAGCAGAGCAGGCAGCAATCTTTGCTGTTCTGCAGCCTCTGCTGTTGATACACAGGCAAACAGGCTCTGGAGTGGACCTCCAGCAAACTGAAGCAGAGCTGCAGAAGAGGTGCCTGACTGTTAGAAGAAAAACTAAGAAACAGAAAGCAATAACATCAATATCAACAACAGGGACCCCCACACAAAAACCCCATCTAAAGGTCATCAGCCTCAAACATCAATGGTAGATAAATCCATAAAGATGAGGAAAAACCAGTGCAATAATGCTGAAAATTCCAAAAACCAGAATGCCTCTTTTCCTCCAAATGATCACAACTCCTCTCCAGCAAGGGCACAAAACTGGATGTAGAATGAGTTTGATGAATTGACAGAAGTAGGCTTCAGAAGTTGGGTAATAACAAACTCCTCTGAGCTAAAGGAGCATGTTCTAACCCAAAGTAAGGTAGCTAAGAACCTTGATAAAAGGTTAAAGTAACTGCTAACTAAAACAACCAGTTTAGAGAAGAACATAAACGATCTGATGGAGCTGAAAAACACAGCACAAGAACTTTGTGAAGCAAACACAAGTATCAGTAGCCGAATCGATCAAGTGGAAGAAAGGATATCAGAGATTGAAGATCAACTTACTGAAATAAGGCGTGAAGATCAGAGAAGAAAAGAATGAAAAGGAACAAACAAAGCCTCCAAGAAATAAGGGACTAAGTGAAAAAACCAAATCTATGATTGATTGGTGGACCTGAAAGTGATGGGCAGAATACAAACAAGTTGGAAAACACACTTCAGAATATTATCTGGGAGAACTTCCTCAACTAGAAAGTTGAGGCCAACATTAAAATTAAGGAAATACAGAGATACTCCTTGAGAAGAGCAACCCCAAGACACGTAATCATCACATTATCCAAGGTTGAAACGAAGGAAAAAATGTTAAGGGCAGCCAGAGAGAAAGGTCAGGTTACCTACAAAGAGAAGCCCATCATACTAACAGCAGATCTCTCTGCAGAAACCCTGCAAGCCAGAAGAGTGTGGGGGGCCAATATTCAACATTCTTAAAGAAAAAAGTTTTCAACCCAGAATTTCATATCCAGCCAAACTAATCTTCATAAGTGAAGGAGAAATACAATTATTTCCAGACAAGCAATGTTGAGGGATTTTGTCACCACCAGACCTGCCTTACAAGAGTTCTTGAAGGAAGCACTAAATATGGAAAGGAAAAAGCAGTACTAGCCACTGCAAAAACACAGCAAAATATAAAGATCAATGACACTGTGGAGAAACTGCATCAACTAATGTGGAAAATAACCAGCTAGCATCATGATGACAGGATTAAATTCACACATAACAATAATTACCTTAAATGTAAATGGGCTAAATGCCTCAGTGAAAAGACACAGACTGGCAAATTGGATAAAAAGTCAAGCTCCCATCAGGGTGTATTCAGGAGACCCATCTCATGTGCAAAGACATGCATAGGCTCAAAGTAAAGGAAAGGAGGAATATTTACCAAGCAAATCAAAAAAAAAAAGCAAGAAAATATCAGAGATTGCAACTTTAGTCCTGATAAAACAGATTTTAAGCCACAAAGATTAAAAAAAGAGACAGAGAAGGGCATTACATAATAGTAAAGGGATCAATGCAATAAGAAGAGCTAAGTATTCTAAATATATATGCAGCCAATACAGGAGCACCCAGATTCATAAAACAAGTCCTTAGGGACCTACAAAGAGACTTAGACTCCCACACAATAATAGTGGGAGTCTTTAACACCCCACTGCCAATATTAGAGAGATCAACAAGACAGAAAATTAACAAGGATATTCAGGACTTGAACTCAGCTCTGGACCAAGTGGACCTAACAGATATCTACAGATCTCTCAACACCAAATCAACAGAATATATATTCTTCTTAGCACCACATAGCACTTATTCTAAAATCAACCACATAATTGGAAATAAAACACTCCTCAGCAAATGCAAAAGAACCGAAATCATAACAAACAGTCTCTCAGACCACAGTGCAATCAAAATAGAACTCAGGATTAAGAGACTCACTCAAAACCGCACAACTACACAGAAACTGAACAACCTGCTCCTGAATGACTACTGGGTAAATAATAAAATTAAAGCCGAAATAAAGAAGTTCTTTGAAATCAATGAGAACAAAGAGATAATGTATCAGAATATCTGGGACACAGCTAGACCGGTGTTAAGAGGGAAATTTATAGCAGTAAGTGCCCACATCAGAAAGTGGGAAAGATCTAAAATTGACACCCTAATGTCACAAACAAAACAACTAGAGAAGCAAGAGCAAACAAATTCAAAAGATCACAGACGACAAGAAATAACTAGATCAGAGAAGAACTGAAGGAGATAGAGACAAAACACAACCTTTCAAAAAAACCAATGAATCCAGGAGCTGTTTATTTTTTAAAAAAAGATTAACAAAATAGATAGACTGCTAGCCAGAATAATAAAGAAGAAAAGAGAGAAGAATCAAATAGACACAATAAAAAAGATAGAAGTGATATCACTACTGATCTCACAGAAATACAAACTACCATCAGCGAGTACTATAAACACTTCTATGGAAATAAACTAGAAAATCTAGAAGAAATGGATACATTTCTGGATGCATACACGCTCCCAAGACTAAACCAGGAAGAACTTGAATCCCCGAATAGATCAATAGCAAGTTCTGAAATTTAGGCAGTAACTAATAGCCTACCAACCAAAAAAAAAAAAAAAAAATGCTTAAGACCAGATGGATTCACAGCCTAGTTGTCCTAGATGTACAAAGAGGAGCTGGTATTATTTCCTCTGAAACTATTCCAAACAACAGAAAAAGAAGGACTCCTCCATAACTCATTTTGTGATGTCAGCATCTTTCTAATACCATAACCTGGGAGAGACCCAACAAAAAAGAAAATTTCAGGCTAAGATCCCCGATGAACATCGATGCAAAAATCCTCAATAAAATACTGGCAAACCGAATCCAGTGGCACATCAAAAAGCTTATCCACCACGATCAAGTCAGCATCATCTCTGGGATGCAAGACTCGTTCAACATAAGGCAAATCAATAAATGTAATCCATTACATAAACAGAACCAATGATAAAAATCACATGATTATCTCAACAGATGCCAGAAAACCCTTTGATCAAATTCCTTCATGCTAAAAACTCTCAATAAACTAGGTATTGATGGAACATATCTCAAAATAATAAGAGCCACTTATGAAAAACCCATAGAAAATATCATACTGAATGGGCAAAAGCTGGAAGCATTCCCTTTGAAAGCCGGCACAAGACAAGAATGTCCTCTCTCAACACTTCTATTCAACAGGATTAGAAGTTTTGGCCAGGGCAATCAGGAAAGAGAAAGAAATAAAGGATATTCAAATAGGAAGTGAAGAAGTCAAATTGTCTCTGTTTGCAGATGACATGAGTGTATATTTAGAACCATTATCTTAGCCCAAAAACTCCTTAAGCTGATACGCAACTTTAGCAAAGTCTCAGGATACAAAATCAATGTGCAAAATTCACAAGCATTCCTATACACCAATAATAGATAAGCAGAGAGCCAAATCATGAGTGAATTTCCATTCACAATTGCTACAAAGAAAATAAAATACCTAGGAATACAACTTACAAGGGATATGAAGGACCTCTTTAAGGAGAACTACAAACCACTGCTCAAGGAAATAAGAGAGGACATAAACAAATGGAAAACACTCCATGCTCATGGATAGGAAGAATCAATATCGTGGAAATGGCCATACTGCCCAAAGTAATTTATGAATTCAATAGTATTCCCATCAAGCTACAATTGACATTCTTCACAGAATTAAAAAAAAAAAACTAGATTAAATTTCATATGGAACTAAAAAAAAGCCTGTCTAGACAAGATAATCCAAAGCAAAAAGAACAAAGCTGGAGGCATCACACTACCTTACTTTAAACTATACTACAAGGCTACAGTAACCAAAACAGCATGGTACTTGCACCAAAACAGATATATAGACCAATGGAACAGAACAGAGTTCTCAGAAATAACACCACACATCTACAAGCACTGATCTTCAACAACCCTGACAAAAACAAGCAATGGGGAAAGGAATCACTATTTAATAAATGGGGCTGAGAAAACTGTCTAGCCCTATGCAGAAAACAGGAACTGGACCCCTTCCTTACACCCTATACAAAAATTAACTCACGATGGATTAAAGACTTAAATGTAAAACCTAAAGCCATAAAAACCCTAGAAGAAAACCTAGGTAATACCATTCAGGACATAGGCATGGACAAAGACTTCATGATTAAACACCAAAGCAATGGCAACAAAAGCCAAAATTGACAAATGGGATCTAATTAAACAAAATAACCTCTGCTCAGTAAAAGAAACTCTCATAAGAGTGAACAGGAAACCTAAAGAATGGGAGAAAATTTTTGCAATCTATCCACCTGACAAAGGTCTAATATCCAGAATTTGCAAGGAACTTAAACAAATTTACAAGAAAAAACAAACAAACCCATTAAAAAGTGGGCAAAGAATATGAACAGAGAGTTTTCAAAAGACATTTATACGGCCAACAAACATATGAAAAAAATGTCATAATCACTGGTCATTAGAGAAATGCAAATCAAAACCACAATGAGATATCATCTCACACCAGTTAGAATGACAATCATTAAAAAGTCAAGAAACAACAGATGCTGGTGAGCTCTGGAGAAATAGGAACACTTTTACACTGTTGGTGGGAGTGTGAATTAGTTCAACCTTTGTGGAAGACAGTGTGGTGATTCCTCAAGGATCTAGAACTAGAAATATCATTTGACCCAGCATATACCCAAAGGATTATAAATCATTCTACTCTAAAGACACATGCACATGTATGTTTATTGCAACACTGTTCACAATAGTAAAGACATGGAACCAACCCAAATGCCCATCAATGATAGACTGGATAAAGAAAATGTGGCCCATATACAACATGGAATACTATACAGCTGTAAAAAGTATGAGTTTATGTCCTTTTCAGGGACATGGATAAAGCTGGAAACCATCATTCTCAGCAAACTAACACAGGAACAGAAAACCAAACACTGCATGTTCTCACTCATAAATGGGAGTTGAACAATGAGAACATATGGACACAGGGAGGGGAACATTACACTCCATCCAGGGCCTGTCAGGGGGTGGGAGGCAAGGGAAGGGAGAGCATTAAGACAAATACCTAATGCATGCCAGGCTTAAAACCTAGATGATGAGTTGATAGTTTCAGCAAACCACCATGGCACATGTATACCTATGTAACAAACTTGCTCATTCTGCATATGTATCCCAGAACTTAAAGTAAAATTAAAAAAAAAAACTGCCAATGAGCACATAAAAAGATGTTAAACTCACTGATAGTTAGGGAAATGTAAAATAAAATCACAATGAGATATTTCTTAAAAAAAAAAACTCCTCCAAAATACTTCTTGATTTGATAAATGAATTTCGTAACATATCAGAATGCAAACTCAATGTATAAAAATTAGTAGCATTTCTATATACTAATAATTTTCAATTGAAAACCAAATCAAGATGGCAATCCCATTTATAATAGCTAGAAAAATAAATAAATAAAACTCAGAAATATATTAACCAAAGAGGAGGTGAAAGATCTCTACAAGGAAGACTACAAAACACTTATGAAAGAAATTGTAGATGACACAAACAAATGGAAAAATATATGCTCATCAATATTATTAAATGAATGAATATTATTAAAATGACCATGCTACACAAAGCAGTTTACTGATTCAATGCATTTCTATCAAAATACAAATGCCATTTTTCTTGGAACAGAAAAAAATTCATATGGAACCAAAAAGAGGCATCACATTACCTAACTTCAAATTATACTGCAAGGCTATGGTAGCCAAAATAGTATGGTACTGGTATAAAACTAGAGACACAGATCAACAGAACAGAACAGAGAATCACAAAATTAAGCCACATACTTATAGCCAACTGATCTTTGATAAAGGTGACAAAAACATACACAGGAAATACACTGGGGAAAGAAAGGACACTCAATTCAACAAATGTATTGGGAAAATTGGATTGTCATATGAAGAATGACACTGGACCCCTTAGTTCTCAACACATACAAAAGTTAATTCATGATGGATTAAAGACTTAAATGTAAGACCTGAAAATATGAAAATCCTGAAAGAAAACAGGAAAAACTCTTGGACATTGGCCTAGGCAAAAAAATTCATGACTAAATCCTCAAAAGCAAATGCAACAAAAACAAAAATAGACTAATTGTGTTTAATTAAACTGAAAAGTTTTTGCACGACAAAAGAAATAATCAACAGGGGGAACAGATACCCTGCAAAATGGGAGAAAATATTTACAAACTACGTATGTGACAAGGGACTAATATCCTGAATCTACAAGAAACTCCAACAACTCAGCGACAACATCAACATCAACAACAACAACAACAACAACAACAAACTCAACTAGTCCCATTAAAAAGTGGACAAAGGGCATGAATAAATATTTTTCAAATGAAGACATATTCATGGCCAATAAGCATATGAAAAAATGCTCAACATTACTAATTATCAGAAATAGTCAAATTAAAAACAAAATGAGGTTTGACACTAATTTGATACCAATTTGACACAAATCAGGATAGCTAGTATTAAAAAGTCAAAAAATAACAGATGTTGGTGAGATGTCAGGAAAGGGGAAGGTTTATACACTGTTAGTAGGAATGCAAATGAGTACAACCTCTATGGAAAACAGTATGGAGATTTCTCAAAGAACTAAAAATAGAACTACCATTCAATCCAACAATTCCTACTACTGAGTATCTACCCAAAGGGAAAGAAATCATTATATTAAAAAGATACTGGCAAGCGTATGTTCATTGCAGCACTATTCACAATAACAAAGAGATGGGGTCAACCTAAATGTTTATCAATGAATGACTGGATAAAGTAAACATCATATATATGTAGCACATAAATGCTATGAAAAGCTACTCAGCCATAAATAAGAATGAAATTACATATTTTTCACCAACATAGATGAAACCAGAGGTCATTATCTCAGATGAAAAAACTCAGAAAGTCAAATACTGCATTTTCTCACTTATAAGTGGAAGCTAAAGAATGTATACATATAGGCATAAAGTGTTGAATAATAGAATAATAGACACTGAAGACTCAGAAGGGTGAGAGGGTAAGAGTGGGGTAAGGGATGAAAAATTACTTAATGGGTACATGTGGGAGTTTACACAAAAAGCTCAGACTTCACCCCTAGGCAACATATCCATACTAAAAAGCTATACTTCTACCCTGTAAATTTACAAATTTTTTAAAAGAAGTCGGTATATTTTTATCAAGAGTTATTTATTTTACTGCAGAGTGGCTGGCTAGGTATCCTAGTCAAAGTTTTGCCTATTGCAAAAATTTCTCTATTCTACTCTCTTTCGGGGCACAGATTGGGCTGTATGCAGCAGTAGTTTCTGTTTTGTTCCCACTGACATTCTCAGTCAATCTGCTCATGAACTGAACCTTACCTTTTTCTCCATCAGCTTGCCATAAGAATACAGTCATATGGTCATGGGCATGACCTAGTGGACAAGCATAAGTGTACACTATTGAAAAACAAAAACAGTGCCCATCTGTTTGTATCACTTACTTGTGCCCTCTAAGCCTCCTTATGCTGAATCTCAAGTATACATTTTCATCTTAGTATGGAATGTTGATGAATTCACCTAACATTATGGCTTGGTGATCTAAAAGAACTCAACTTGTGATGCTCACTTCTGACGGTGTAGTCACCTGGGTTCCATGGTCAGGTGTATTTGAATGGTGTGTAATAATCTCCTGCTGATAGCTTGGTATTGCTTCATCACTGATGGAGTTTATGTTGTGTTTCTCCTAATTAGGATTGCATTAACTCAACTTCATACCTTTTCTCACCACAGATGTTTTTAGTGCTATAGTGTCTGCCCTGTCATATAGCCCAGATGGCAAAGCTACTTTACTACAGCCTGTACCTGCTGTTGAGTCTTTCCATTTTTTGAGCACCATTTCAACGCTGGAAAATTTCATATCACTACATAAATACATTCGAGCAGTATTCCCAAACGTGACCTGTTCTCTCTTCAGAACCTTAGGAAACTTAGAGGGTGTAGTATAAGGCAAGAGAGAAAATGTCCTATATGTAATAATTTAACTCATCAGCATATATCTCATTTTTGTAGGTACCAGACCAGTGAAATAAAAAGGAATGTGAGAAGACTACTACTACTGCATATTTTAAATTGATAAGGTTAATAATTGCCTTGTCTCAGGTTGTGATACTGTTTATGATTTACTAGCTTGATCACGGAAATGTTTCTGTAGTTAGGAGATTTTTAGATGTTTGTATTTTGAATGCAGAGATTAATATAGGGGCTGTTCAGAACTGAGAATAAGTAAGCAACTGTCAGGCAAACTTCATTTTTCATGTTAAAGAATTTAGCTATTATTCTAAAGCAAATTGAACTCACTTAAATGTTTTCAGCAGGAAAATTAAAAATATGTTTTTGAGTTGATAATTTCAATTACTCTTTCTTAAAGCAATTTTTCTTAACTGCCCTATAATAATTAAAAAATTGAAAGTGGATCAAAAATTCTAAAACAATTAATGAAAATTCTTAATTCAAGAACTGATTTAAAGATAAATTTTTCTTTAAAAACACATATATTGTTTACTCTTTATTTTTGGTTTCACATCTTTACTTTTATCTTCTTACTATTCTTCATTTTTTGTCTTTGTCTAACAAATCGTAATGGAAAAATACTCATTTATCTCTCAAAAGCTGAAATTATACTTGTTTACCTTTAATGAAAATGATAGACAATTCTTCATTTTAAGAGAATCTGAAACTTCCTGGATGTTGAAACCATGATATTTCACACTGAAAACTCTTCCATGAATACAAATCAAAAAAATACATACTGAGATTTAATATGAAAACATTTGCAAATTTAATACAATATTGAAAATTAAATACAAATACATTTTACAGATAAATCAATTTTTATTAAATTTGTTGTATTGTGTGTGCTTCCTAGGTTTAGGAGGGATTTTTAATGTTGTTTTTTAAAATGCTTAAAATAAACAGCATAGTAAAACACTAGGTCTTGCATTAGTGAGAATGGATAAGTCTATTTTTGAAATTTGTATTTGATTAACTATAATCTTTCACCTACTCTTTTTCCTCCAGACATAGTGCCCGAATGTTTTTCACTGCTTAATATTAAACAAACTACTTTAATAACATTATTTTGACTGTGGTATTGTCTTTGTACATATTATATTTATTTTACAGGTATTTCAAGTATTTTACATATCCCAAAATGACATGTAATGCTTTATTTTACATGAGTGGAAAATAATTCTCTGACAGTTTATTTTACTACGTTTCTACTAGGAAGACAGATTGATATAGTAAATAATACCATTTCAGTATATTTTTTAAAAGACTGTGTTTAAAGACATTGATTGCTGGCAATTTTCTTCTAAATAATAAATAGCCTTGATAATTAATTATGCGGGTGTTTATACATTATTTCCAGCATGCAAAGTCCATGCTAGCATTCCTAATTCACATCAGAGGAGGTAATGTTGTTATAAGTAAAATATATATAATTCTGATTTTAAATATTCTACTAAATGGTAAAGAAATCAATATTCCCATTATCTCTAGATATTGAGAAAAAAGAAATACACCCATTTAAAAACATAGGAAAAACTTAATTAATGTGCAAATAATGTAATAATGTGGGATAGATAATTGTAAACACAATGCATACAAATTGAAAAAATAAAACCTTCAAAGCCAGACACATTGCATCTCTCTGACCCTTCTGTGGTCACATTTCCCCTTTCATTACAATAAGGAAATATTCTTAGCTTTTAAGGATACATGTGATTAGATTGCATGTCCAGAAAATTCTGGCTGTTCTCTCCATCTCATGGTCCTTAACCTCAGTCATCTACAATGTTCCTTCTGCATGTAACGTAACACGTTCAACATATTCACAGGTTTCAGGGATTAGGGCATGGAAATCTTTTGGGGCCCTTTCTTCTGCATATCACAATCCACATGAAAAACATTGAGGCTGTTGTTTTTTAGTTTCTTTTATTGTCTAATGCCAGAGTGGTAAATTGCAACGAACATTATTCTATTTATATAAGAACAAATGTTCTTAAAAATTATGTCTAGCTTACAAAATATACTGTCCACAGTGCTATTGAATGACTCTGTAATTTTGCATACATATCTTAACTCCTTGAGACTTGTATTCCCTACTGAAGAAAAAATGTATTACAAGTTCATTGCCAGAGTGTACAATTAAAAAAAAAACTTTGATGTTTATTCTAATATTAAGATACAGTATTATGATTTATTTTGCATTTTACATGTATTTGTGTATCTATGGGCATCCATCATTAAGAGGTGATAGAGTTTTACTTTATTTCTAATTATCTGTCAGTTTATTTCTTGTTTTGACAGCTGTGTTGTGTACTTTAGAAGCTATGAAGGGTTAATAGACAGTATTTTATCCTTAGTTATTTTTAAGAAAAGAGTTATACCATCAGAAGATCTTGATGTGGTTTCATTGTGTTCCCACCCAAATCTCATCTTGAATTGTAGCTCCCATAATTCCCACGTGTTGTGGGAGGGACCTGGTGGGAGATAATTGAATCACAGGGATGGTTTCCCCCATACTCTTCTCATGGTACTGAGTAAATCTCACGAGATCTGATGATTTTATAAAGGGTTTCCCCTTTTGCTGACTCTCAGGCTCTCATTTGACTCTTGCCTGCTGCTACGTAAGAAGTGCCTTTCACCTTGCATCATGGCCATGAGGCCTCGTCAGCCATATGGAACTGTGTTTATTAAATCTGTTTTTCTTTATAAATTACCCAGTCTTAGGTATGACTTTATCAGCAGCATTAAAACAGACTAACAGAGACCTGAAAGTGGTTAAAAATGCATGAATGCAATGGATTGGCTATTCTAAAATACTATATTTATATAATTTAAATGAAAAGAAAAAATTATTTAACGAAAAACAGGATACAAATTTCATATCCTACAGTTTTATTTTACAGGATTACTCTGATTGGTGATTAGGATAATTACAAATGTCCAGTAAATCAAGGTCATTCTCTACATTATAAGTATTAAGTTAAAGGTAAAGAAATGATTTTTCAGATTCATGACATTATTAGTTGTTGATTTTTGTAGCCTAAGATTTATGTTCTTAAAACTGTATTCCATAATTGCCTTACAAAAAATTCACTGTCAAGTCTTTATTTTAGATTACCAGGTAAGTGCCTTGTGTATGCTCTTTCAATAACCAAACGTAAGCTAAACCACTACTGATGATGATGAGTACATAAAATCAATATACCTTATGATGGTACTTAATAATTCTAAGTGCTTCAGAGACCTCTGACCTTCTAAAACATAACATATAAATAATACAAGACATGAAGATAAGGCCAAACTGATGTTCATTCAATCTGTTTTTCTTTATAAATTACCCAGTCTTGAGTATGTCTTTATCAGCAGCATTAAAACAGACTAATACAGAACTGAACGTGATTAAAAATGCATATATAAATCTAATTTTAATTTTAAAGGATGGACAATTGAGTGAAGTAGTTAAGAAATGCTATGTTTCAATATGTGGAAAAAGTCTGAATATTTTCTGAATATTCAGTATTTCTGAGTGTTACATGCAACATGTATTTTAGTTTTTTTTTTTTAATTTAATGACTATATTACTTTGTTTTTGTTTTTGTTTTTTTCTTTCCTTACCCTTGACCTGATACCTTAGTCAGTTTAAACTTTAAACACCAGTCAGGACTGGTGCAGTGACTTATACCTAATCTCAGCACTTTGGGAGAGGATTGTGTGAGCCCAAGAGTTCGCGACAAGGTTGGGCAACATGAGGAAACCCCATCTTTACAAAAAATACAAAAATTAGCCAGGCACAAGTGGCACACACCTGTAGTCCCAGCTACTCCAAGAGGCTGAGGTGGGAGGATTGCTTGATCCTGGGAGGTCAAGTCTGCAGTGAGCTGTGATCGCACCACTGCACTCCAGCCTGGGTGACAGAGTGTCTTAAAATGATACAAAAAAAGGAATCCTAAGCATCAGAAATGGAAATTAGAAAGGTTTTATAATTTACTATTGATCTTTAGATAAAACCAAAACAAAAACAAAATTGAAAGCCCAGTACCACCACAAGGAAACAAAAAGATGATTCTTTTTCACAGCTAAATTTCTGATCTGGGTGTTGGTATTGATAAGTAGAATATATTAGTGTATACACTTAATTGAAACGCGTATGATGTTCATATTTTGATTTATATTTTGTTAACTTACAACTTTAGCATATATTAAAATGTCCTATTTTATTTACAATTATCTAAAATGCTGTTATAAATATTTCCAAAAACAAATAGTATGTTTATTCAAAAATGCTTTATATCTATTAACAACTGTGATTTGAATACCACTACTTACTAACGGTATGCTACAAACAAATTATCTTGCTTCCTTGAGCCTCAGATGCTCATCTTTAAAATTGAAGACACTTGAGGAGAAAGTGTGAAAGGACAATCACATCTACAAAATAGTCAAAAATGTTTGCTACTTTTATACTTAAAATTTAGTACAGGCTCCATTAAATATTTTTTTCTGTCAACACTTTTCAAAATTCAATTAAAATTTATATGTATAGAAAAGGTAAATTCTCAAACCATGTACAGCAGTTTATATTTAATTTTTTTTAAGTATCTTCTCCAGTAGCCCTAATTAGTCTCCCTAAATTCAGCCCCACTCTAAAAGTAACTAAAAATAATTATACATTTTAGTAAGAATAAAGCGGACTTTCAAGTTTTCATGAGCAGAGTTCATTTTAGTAATGTTTTTAGTCCCCCCCTCCTTGTTTTTTCATTTGGCAATATAACTTGAATATTTCATACAGGATAAATATACATCTCATATTTTGTAACTTGTCTATCCTGAAATTTCTAAAACATCCTCTCCAATTCTGTCTTTGAAGTAATGACCATGTTTCCTGTTTCCCTCATAAAGTAGAAGTACCAAGAGGAGATTTTCCAAAAAATGTTACCTACTAAAATATTTTCATTACCTATGTTAATATATTTTACCATCCATCTTATTACTATTCTTTTATTTAACAAATGTTTATTGTGCACCTACTAAACACCTGGCTCCATGTTAGACGAGGACTGTATGCTCAATGAAGAAACAAAATAAAATGAAACTCCTACCCAAATGAGGATTTATATTGTTGAATATTGCATACTCTTTTCTCACTAAGGTCAACCCTACCACTTGTGCTCTAGGTTGCATCACTTTTTCCTCCTCAAAGAAGTCTCCTATGATGTTATTTCTTCCATTAAAAATACATTTTTATCAAACTACCCATTCCTGTTATACACTCCCCTCCTTATGTTTTTAGTTTTCCTTTACAGGAATGTCCTTTGAAAAAAAAGTAGTGTAATTTACTATCTTCAGTCCCCTCCACCTTCATTCTCTATTGATCCTAGTCCAATCAGGCTTTTACTCATATCGCCACACCACAAATGATCTTTGCAAAGCACAAAAGATCTTCACATAGGTAAATCCAATGGTCATGCCTCTGACCATGGATTTATTGCCATGTCAGTAGCATTTTCTGTTGTTCATTCCTTTGTTTTTTGGAAAACAAAACAGTTAATAGTGGACATGTTTTTTAGGATATTTTACACTCCTGCTTTTCTTCTTACCTCATGACAAGATTTTTAATCATAACTTTTGTTTGATTCACCTTATGTATTTTGCCTCTTAAATCTGAAGTACCCTACCTGGTCCTAGTCTCTATCTACAGTCACTCTCTGGGTGATCCTACTAAATCTTTCTTTCTGAAAGACCACCTAGAGCCTTATGATTCCACCCAGAACTCTGTACTGAACTCTAGATTCGGATATTCAACCACATACTTCACATGGCAACATGGAATATTCATCTCAATTTTAGAATATGCACAATGGAATTTTTTGTTCCTTCCAACCCAACATAATGTTTCCATAGTTTTCTTCATTCCAAGTAATGGACACTGCATCCTTCCTGTTGTTTAGGTTTAAAACTTTGCTGTCATTCCTGTCTTTTGTTTTTTTTTAAACAGAGCCTCACTCTGTCACCTAGGCTGGAGTGCAGTGGCACGATCTCGACTCACTGCAACCTCCAGCTCCTGGGTTCAAACGATTCTTGTGCCTCAGCCTCCTGAGCAGCTGGGACTACAGGCCTGCACCACCACACCCAGCTAATTTTTTTGATATTTTTAGTAGAGATGGGTTTTCACCATGTTGGCCAGGCTGGTCTCAAACTCCTGACCTCAAGTGATCCTCCTATCTTGGCCTTCCAATTTGTCATTCTTCATCTCTCATTCTTTATGTCTGATACCAATTTTTCAAGATATATCCATTATTAGAACAGTTTCACCACCTCAATTATTACTATTATAATCCATTATGTTATATTTAATGTGTTTCTCTTATACAATTAGAGTAAAAGCCAAGCCTTTCTAATAGTTGTACCAAATAAGGTGGTAGTGTGATTTTGCTATTTTATTTGGAAATTAACCATGGCTGTAAAAGGTGTGGATTAGCCAAGTGGACAAGTAATCGACAGTAGTGATTCTGTAGTGGGTAAATCTGATGAAACTGAGAGTATGACATCCAGAATTTCCTTCCAAATAGTCTCCAGTTAAAAATGACCAAAAGAGGAATTTCCATTAGATTTGGAAGGTAGAAGTGAAGCAACAACCATCACTTTCTGAAGGACACTGAGGTGTCCTTAGGTATGGGGAATGACAGACGCAAAGGTGTTAAAGGACTTTATTGTCTCCTCCCAGGTTGCTTTTTGTTATCTCCAATCAATGTTCCATTCTTTTTCTGGACTACTGGCTCTAAAGAACAACAATGACTCTGTTCCTATCTATACAACCTTCTATACATCTCTCTGTTACTTATTTTGCAATTCTACACTGGCAGTTGGATATGCCTTGCTTGCCATATTTTCAAACTTGTCCACATATTTATAATCTTAACTCAAATTGACTTATCAAAAACCAATTGAAACTTATTTATATTATTTTCAGTTTTCAGTAGTGTTTATTTTTATTTTAAATACATATCCTGAAAAATTAATTTGAGTTTGTTCTTCAGCATTTTGCCACATTTAATACTCTTTCCAATGCAACGGTCCTATATTATATTTACACAACTTATTGTGTGTGTGTGTGAGAGAGAGAGAGAAGTGTGTGTGCATGAGAGAGAAAGTGTGTGTATGTGAGACAGAGAGAGAGAGAGAGAGAGAAAGATCTGTGTATCAATTTTTAATTTGATTTCTATCTTTTAGTGAATTTTTCTCTGATTTGCTTGTGGCTAATAGGTATAACTTTATTCTTTACAAAGATAACTTTTTAAAAAATTTCTAAAATGTTATTATACTTATTATCTATATCAATGTTGCCCATGAATAAATAAATATTTTTTCTTTCTTCTTATAGTGGAGAATAATTGTTAAAAGTCAACAGAAATTTCTTTTGAACTCTTTAATGACATAACCCAACAAAATAATTGTATTATTTTAAAATAAGACATTCAAAATGTTTCAATAAGGCCAGACATGGTGGCTGACATCTGTAATCTCAGGACTTTGGGAGACTGAGCTAGGAGAATCGCTTGGGACCAGGAATTCAAGCCCTGCCTGGGCAATGCAGTGAGATCCTGCCACTATAAAAAACTTTAAAAAATTAACCGGGTACTGTGGTGCCTACCTATAATTCCAGCCACTTGGGAGGCTGAGGTGGGAGGACTGCTTGTGCACAGGAGTTTGAGGCTGCAACAAGCTATGACGTGCCACTGTACTCCAGTCTGGGGGACAGGAAGACTCTGTCTCTAAAAATGAACAAACAAAATTTCGTATATTTTTATTTTTTTAAATTATTTTATTTATTTATTTTGAAGCGGAGTTCCGCTCTTGTTGCCCAGGCTGGAGTGCGATGGCGCGATCTCAGCTGACTGCAACCTCTGCCTCCCGGGTTCAAGCCATTCTCCGGCCTCAGCCTCCCGAGTAGCTGGGATTACAGGCATGCGCCACCACGCCCGGCTAATTTTGTATTTTTAGTAGAGATGGGGTTTCTCCATGTTGGTCAGGCTGGTCTCGAATTCTCGACCTCAGGTGATCCGCCAGGCTTGGCCTCCCTAAGTGCTGGGATTACAGGCATGAGCCTCCGCGCCCTGCCTTATTTAAGTTTTTAAAAGTTTCTGAGATAAGTATATATCAGGTAACCCCACGATTTTTATCTTTCACATAAAAATATTCTTATAAATTTTGTATGCACATCTATACAGTATTCAGTGAAAAAACTGATAAATTAGAATCTCATGGATTTCATAGGGGAATTCATTTTAGTTGAATAAGCTGAAGGCTTTCTATTACAGCTTGGATAGTTTTTGAAAACAGACTCAGAAATGTATAGAGTAATGGTAATAAAATAAATTTGTTGATAAATACATTCAGCATATGCTATAAATGATACGAGTGTGTATGTATATGGATTTATAAATATGCACACAAATATATGCATGTAAGTATATATTCACACATACACACTTTTTTTTTTTAATTTGCCAGATCTGTCCTAGACCAACTTCTCCAAATCTATATTTCAGGGACCAGAAAGACAAATCTAATATCTCAAGCTCTTGTATACAATATTTTCAACTCCATGGATCATAGTCTTATAATGAAACTAGCGAAAGCCCTCAAAACTTTATGACACCATTTTTATTGCGTTTTATAAAATACTTTTCTGAATCTACAGATTGTGATCATATTTGTTTTCTATTTTAAATCCCTTTAATTGTTCCTCAAGCAGTATATAACAGCTTTGTGAAATGCAATTCCTATAGTAATAAAAAGAAAATTCTAGGGTTTTTAAACAATTAATGAAGTTGTAATGGTGACTTTTCAAGCTAATAGTTTTTTTAGCCTACGTTAGATCATGCTAACTCAAAAGCTTAATTTCAGTACAATTGTTTCATTCATATTAGCACAATGCCACAAAAAATAACTACACTATTATTCTAGGAATGCAAAAGAGGCAAGGATATCTCTTAGCTACCATCTCAATAACCACCGTTTTACCAACTATGATAAATCTCTAGAAAATATGAGTCTATCTAGGAAGATTTTATGAATTTTAAGATGCACTTTAAGTGATCAATAATTGTTTTTCTCTTAGAAGAAGCATATTTGTAGGAATATACTTAATATAAAAGAAAGTTACAACTGGCTTAGGTCTACTTCAACACATTACAGTGTTTAAAGCTTAGTGCTTTAAAGAGACAAAGATATTTAGTAATTTTTCTTAAAGAAAAATTACTCAATTCTCCCATTTCTTAAGCTATGGAAACTCTCATCTTCCAAATAATGCTGCTCATATTTATGGATCACTATGTTAAGTGGTTTTTATTATATAATTAATATTTATAACAATGATATAGGCTATTTTTAATATAAGTATCCATTTTAATGTTAGAAATTGAAGGACAGAGATGTTAATAATTTTCTCCAGATCATACATAGCCAAGACAGGATTTCATTCATAAGAAGTTGACAACTGTGGTCCCTTGTCCGTGAAGCTGAATCACCTACACTGCCAGTTAGCTATCCGGGAGTCCATTCTCAAGTGATTGTGCTCTTTTAGAAAGATAATCATGCAAACTGTGCATGCATTTACTTGACAGCTAATACAGTCTCATATTGGCAGATGACTTTTATGCATCTCTCACATGTCAATTAAACTGCAAACGTCTTCAGGGTCTATGTTCTTTCAATTCAAACAAAATGACCAGAAGAGTGCTTTTTCTTTGATTCTTAAAAAAATATTTGTTGATAGCACATAAGAGGCATGTAAGAGAACTATCAAAAATTAATGTACACGTTACATGTGCTTTAGAGTGATAAGATCTTATAGTAGTTGGTTATCATTAAATGATACAGATAGCCTGAGACCTTCTCGAAAACCCTGAGCAGCATGTAGTGTGAAGTTACAGAAATGCAACTCAGTGAAATCCTGCACTCCACATATGATTTACTTTGAATAGATAAAATCCTACCTATGACATCACAGTTCAGATTATTATTTATTAGAATTATAAAATTTTATAAGTTAAATTCATAGTGGACCATGACTATGAATGCCACTAAAGACTTTATCAAAAGTTTCAACATTCCATAAGTGATAAATCTTTAGCTAGATGATTTTAACTCTTGTTGTTATTAGCTGTGGACAAAATGGTACTTTATGTTCAGAGTACAAATGTTAATTAATTTTAAAAATTTTCCTCTACAGCAATTATGTAGAATTTTTATTTCAGAAAATAGTCTAAAGCATGTCTTTATTTTATTATTTATTATTTTTTATTTCTAGAGACAGAGTCTTACCCTATCATCCAGCTGGAGTGCAGTGGCGTGATCACCGCTCACTGCAGCCTCAAATTCCTGAGCTCAAGCCATCCTCCCTAAAGTCCTTCTTTAAAATAAGCAGCTTCTCCGCTTAGCTGGAGCTGCAAGGAAAGAAACTTAAAAACAAACAAAATAAGCTGTTTCTTTGTTGAGCCTTAAAGACTCATCACATAGGGTTTACTTGGTTGCTTTCTACATTCTAGAGAAATTACTGAATAAATAATTTCCTACCGGGGGTTGAAAATTAGAGGTGCGAAAAGAAGATAAATAGTGTTTGAGTATGAAAACAAGGAGAAAAAAGTGTAGGGTAAAATCGATTCCACTGTATCCTTGGATTAAAAAAAATACAACACAAAAACCAAACTTATATGTACTTTTCTATTTACTTCTTTTCATCAATATTCACAGAATAAATGTGTATCATTCACTTTAAGCTGCTGATAAAAATGGATGTATGCTATGATCACATCCTCATTGTGTCCATCAAACTTCTTTCCCTAAGTTTTTCTAATAAAGAACATTTTGATTCCATCTTTCTATTTTGGCATTGGTCAATTGTTATGATTTATTCAATCTCACTAAATTTTAGTTATTCTTACCAAGGCAAGAGTGACTACACTGGAAGAGATGGCGGTTATGATCATTCAGATTTTTTCAAGAGTATATAGTTCACAACCAAACAAGTGGTTTAGATTAGGTCATGGAAGTGGTGTTCCTGTCTGCTTCAGGGAAACTACAGATTTTATTTCAGGCAGTTACTTATTCATTTATTTATTGCTTCATTCAAAATTGATTCAATGCCTACTGGGGACAGCACAGAATAATGTAAAGTCCTTGTATTTTAGAGTGCAGACAGAACTTGACTAAAATCCTGCTACTAACTAGCTACCTGACTTCATAAATGCCACATGAACATTCTCATTTTAGTTCCTCATCCTGTAGAAATGACTTCAATTGACAGACATCAACTTAATTTATTTTTCTCCAGCATCCAATGAGAAAAGCATGGATGAATAAACATGAAACATTTGAAGTGATGCACACTAATACATGATACACACCAATTATATGGTCACTTTTTAAAAGTTGCAGCAGTAAATTGTTGCTTTGTATGTGTTTTTTCTTCTTGAAACCTTTATTTATTGACGAAGTTGACTGCATCATTGTTTTCTCCTAGAGAATCATGTCTTCCTCACTTTTAGGTCATGTGCTTTGGGTTATGTTCCAACTCTAATTTAGATTATATGTCCCTAATGCTGGTCAACCAGCTCCCCAAATTTCTGTTGTGGATCCCTTCCTCTATAAACAGTGAAGCCTAGGTTTCATGGAGAAAGTTTCATGAGCCATAGCAGTCTTATTGATCCAGAAGAGGAGCATGATCCAAATATAATGTCCTGTCAATTAATGCAGTGTCAATAAATTTAAAAAGAAATAAGATACTCATGTCATCCTCACCCTTCTATGAAACTGCCCCAGCAGAAGATATATTAATAATCTTCCTTCAAATATTTTAAATTTAGTTTTCTAACCATTTGATATAGTTTGGATATTTGTCCCTTCCAAAGCTTATGTTGAAATTTGATGTCCAATGTTGGGGGTGAGCCTAGTGGGAGGTGTTTGGGTCACAAGGGCAGGTGTCTCATGAACAGCTTGGTGCCATCCTCGGGATAATGAGTGAATTATCACTGTTATCAGTTCCCATGAGATCTGACTGTGAAAAAGAGCCTGATACTTTCCCTCTCCTTTTGTTCCTCTCACCATGTGATGCCTGCATCCCTTCTCTTTCTACCAGGAATGGAAGTTCCCTGAACCCTCACCATAAACAAATGCTGGTGCCATCCTTCTCTTGAAAAGTCTACAGAACAATGATCTTAATAAACCTATTTTAAACTAAATTATCCAGCCTCATATATTCCTTTATAGCAATGGAAAACAGACTAAAGCACCATTGTAATCAAAGCAATCCTGAATTACATAGAAAAAAAAAACTGCAGAACTAATTTAGATTTGCTTATATTTTTAAAAGAAAAAATGGTTGAGATTACATACTGCATTCCAAATATACACATTACTGTTATACTTCAATAAATACAAATATTTTTACACTGCTAGATGCTTGCATTATATGTTGGATGTACGTAGTATGTAGTAGATCCTATCCTACATAACATCGAGTAAAATGTCCTTGAATTTGTCAGATTACAATTATATTTGTTGCCTTGTTACTCATGTATACTTTATTACAATTTTATTCTTAGTAATTTCTCCAGAACATTTTTGTCATTTGATATCTCTCCCCACCAACCTACCAAATACCACTTTCCCATCAATAATTTTTAGTGAATAGAGAAAAATTAACTTAGATATTATTCTAGAGTTTTGTATTTATTAATAGAACTCTGTTTTACAACTGCCCTGTTTAATATAAACAGACTGCTGATTGTGTCCTATTGAAATAAAAGATAACTCTTTGCACTATTGATGAATTATCACTAATCAAAAACAATAAAAAAGGGGGAACCCTCCCTATATACACACCTAGCTCCCTTTAAAACTAACAAAAGAAAGAAAAGAAAAAAACATCACTTGAAGTTGTCACTATCAAACATTCACGGTTCCCTTCATAACTAGTCTTTTGTATAGCTTTAATTATGTCCCTTACTGGGGGGTGACAGCCTGACTACAATTGAGCATTTCTGTGGAAACTTTATCTTTACTTCTGAATATGGAAACCTAATAGCCTACTGTTAAGACTTCCTTAGATCTGAGCATTTCAGAATATCATGTATGTGTAACAATAGCATTTTTTTTCCAGATCCACAGTACATAACATTTTGTAGAAGTACATATTGTGCTATGCTAGTTGCTTTTTAAAGGTAGTAACATTTTCAAATTATTTAGGTATTCGAGAGTAAGGTATTTCTCAACCAACTCTACTAGAACTTTCAGCGAACTTTTCTCCCAGTACTAAAATGTTAATATATTTTCACATTTTATCTCAAAAAATATTTTTAAATGGCTGTATTTTTTCTTTGAAAGATTTAGGGTTTGAGCAGTTTTATACAATTCTTGATGTTGCATTTTGCTATATTTAATAAAAGTATTGTTATGAACTAAGTCTTATTGATGCTATATATTATACATAAAATCCTAATTATTTGCTTGTAGTTTCTCTCTATAATCTTTTCAGATTATACTCAGTTATAAAATAGAAGTATAACATTTTAAAAATATTTTATAAGTGTTTAACTTGTCTCTGTTTGTGTACTGTTGTCAGGCTTTTTTCAGCTGGTCACCAGATCTTGGGACTTGTCATCATATCTGTCACCATTTGCTGACATAAAATAGAATCAAAGTAATTGTGTTACCTGCCCAAGGTCACATAACTTGTGTAACTGGAATTCTTAACAATAAACGAGTTGTGGTCTATAATCTTAATACAACGGCATACTTTGAAAGCCATTCTGCCTTTGACGACACTCAGTAAATTAGCTTGCCTTAGCAACAGGCTATTGGATATTTCCACTACATTTCTGGTCATTCTTAGGCACTACAATATTATTTTAGTAACTATAAAGTCCAGCCATATACAACATTCAGACTTTGGAACTTGGTTTAGAATTGATACTGCACTCCTATCTAAGCATGGGTATAAGCTGATTTTTCTTTGATTTTCTGCTTAGCGTTTCATACTTCTCTAGCTCATAAACTCTTGAGTTCTTACCTTTTCACTGTTGGAGCAATAAGGGAAGAGAAGAATAATGTTTAACAAAGTTCTTTTTTGCCTGGTAATGTCCACATCTGATATTTCAATATCTGGACTTCACAGGAGTTTAAGCTTATTCCTTCTTTCACAAATCACTCATGGAGTTTACAGGATCTCCCTCCACTTCCTCCCTCCCTAGCTGGGAACTGCCATCTGCAGAACCCTTGTAGTGGTAAAACAGTATCATTGCATTGTGTCTTACTCCTCTGCTCAGCCTTGAGAAAGGTGCCTTTGAGCATAGCATATGTAGGTGACCAGTATATATTCACCAAAAACAAGCATGCATCCATTTTCCCAAAAGAATCTGGGAGTGTAGCTACATTCTAAATATCAGCCTTCTATTTTAACTTCCTATGCTGATTCTTCCAACTTCTCTTTACAGATAACACAGGCGTGACACGGAGTTTGACTTCCTAGATTTCTCCAAATTTCATGGGACACATATTAAATTCTTAGCACTATTTTAAAAAATATCTCTCTGACTTGAAATAATAAACAACAATTTTACTTTTTTTCTTGGGGATAGGCGAAGGGATGTATTGCAGTCAGAAAGCCTCCTGCTAGCATCATTCACTGAATAAAAGATTTCTCTAATCTCAAACCTGACTCTTAATCTCTCAAGACATGTGAAGTTTTTAAGAATCCTAATACTGTTTTATTTATGTCTTTTTTCAAGTCTTACCAAATGTTCTGCATTACAACTCATTTTTGATACACATTACCATAAATGTTAGATTTTAAATGTCTATTACAGCAAATAAATGGCAAATGACATTTAAACTGATTCTCAGTATTGAACCCTCCTATTTTGTATTTATAACAGTCATTTATCTCCAGAATTCTATGGGTATGTCAAAATGACACCAAAGTAATATTAGAATAATAAGTGTTATTTATATCCCTTTCAATATGGCTCACAGCCTATAAAGCCTGTGGGAACAAGGGGCATTCAGGAGGTATCATTTTTTGCCAGCCTTTCACTAGTTTACATCCTCATACACAGAAACAAAACAAAACAAAATTCCACAATTTTTACTTATATTAAGTAAATTTTAAGGAACTATATTTCTTCCCATTAATTCTTTCAATAAGTATAGATTGATCACGAAAAACTTGTTTGCTCCCTGAGGCACTACTGTGATGAAACTATTTTTTTACTTTTAGGTCCTGACCTAGAGGAAGTTACAATTCAGTTGAACACCTACCTACCTTTTTGTTGAACTATTCACAGAATAAAACTAATCTTGGTATACTACTGATGAGAATAATGTCAAAACAACAAAACTATGTTTCATACATTAATATATTAAATATAGTTGACTCTTCTGTTTATAAACCTACAGCTGTGTGTTTCAAGGTCCTTGAACTTTGTAACTGTTTTTAAGAAAAGCTAGGTTTTGATGACTTGATAAAACCAATTTTCATGATACCTTATTTATCTAACATCTAAGCAATTAGAACTGTCACTAGCTATTCAGACTCCTTTTTTCTTTGTGCCTCTTCTATAAACTATATTTAGTCAGAGGGAAGGAATAAAATACCATGATAAATATGTTTTATTAAAGGGATAGACACCACAGGACAGAAAGATACATGGCAATATGAATGAGGAAGGAGACAGTGACAAAATAAATAAATGACACATGTAGCTTAGACACCTGAGTAGGGACAGTTTCTATGAAGATGAAAGACAGGAAAATTAAAACTAGAAGAGAAAGGAAAAAAAAAATTACTGGAAAATGATACAGACCTCCTAGGCATGGTTTCAAAAGCTCGCTGAGATAAGAAAAAGCCTTTAAAAGGATAGATCATTAATCACTGGGATTTCAATTAGCTAATATTGACTGGGATGGCAATTATGGCATTGATAAGAAAGGGCTTCTTTTCCTGGAGGTAACACAGGCTGTTTCCTGACATATCCAGTGAACAATCCACAGGAAGCCTAGGCTATTATACACTTCATCTTAATGTGGCTGGGAAATGAGACAAGGATGAAAAATACGATAGTGGTACAGAGTCATCTAAAGTCTAGTGATCACAATGTCATCAGAATGTCAATGCCCTTGAGGTTGTATGTGACAGAACATAACAAAAGCCTAGGCTTGAGTAAATAAATACAACAGGCCATTAGGATATGTGAACTAAGTTTTTTGAAAGTTGATTAAAATCAATTTCAGCTTCAGCAAATTTATGGAAAAAGAACTTTTTAATAGCAAATAGTAGACTGACTTTCTTATTATAGAAAGCCTTTTTCTTGTTCTGAAAGTAAATGTAGTAGTTATATTTTCTATATTTTTTGAGGATTTTGGAGAAATAAAGCAGCCACAATATTTTCCCTTAAGAGACTAGCCTATCAGGATGTCTATTTGAGCTTCCTGCTGGTTGGTGTGTTTGAATTACTTTAAAGTAGCTCTTTACATATACCTGAAAGTACCAGGGTACAAGTTTAATAACATATGTGATTAATAAAAACAGAGAAGGTATATTAAGGAAAGAGGCAAATGATATTATATTAATGCTTTGCCATTTCAAAAGCAAAGCAGATTCAAACATATTTTAATTTCAAAGAAAAAAATGTAAAAACAACTGGAAACTTTGAGCTGTGAACATAAACTTTTCCAACCATGTCTTTTGAGGAACAAAACAGTGCTCCATTGAAATGAATTCCAAAATAGAAATTTAGAATTAACATTTTCATGTTTGAAATTGGATAAAATAAAAAGAATATGTGCTGGTAATTGCATTCCAAATTTAACATACCATGTATGATGTAAATATGTTTAACATATAATAAATATTTAATCTATAATACATGCATAATTTAGGTTCTATGGTAGAATAATGCTTAAACACATAACACACAATATTTTTTTTCATTATCTTTAAACAATATATTCAATACATCTATCAGTCAGGGCCCTATTAGAAAACAGATGGTGCACTCAAATTACTATATTTTAAGGAGTCGTAGTCTAAGAAACCACAGGGACCTCAAGGTTAGCAGTACAGTGAAGTTATTACCATCCCTGTATCCTAAGAGACCAGGGGAAGGAGAAGTCACAGATATATGGAATGAGCATCGTAAGTGCTCCTTTTTGGAGAGAGCTAGCCAGCCAGAGATGACCCTTCAAGGAAGGAGCCAAGGAAACAAATACTCTGACCTTACTCACTTCCCGTATTCTGAACACCTGCTTGGTTCCTGTTGCTACAATTCATCAGAAAGCTGGAGTGTTTAGGAGCCACTGTTGTCGTACATATGCGTCACCTATGGCATAGAGCAGTGATATCCTTTAAAAATGTGTGCCCCCCCAACCCAATCTCATTTCAAACTGTAATCCCCAGTGTTGGAGAAGGGATCTGGTGGGAGGTGACTGGATCATATGGGTGGATTTCCTTCTTGTTCTTCTCATGCTATTGAGTGAGTTCTCACAAGAGCTGGTCGTTTAAAAGTGTGTAGCACCTCCCCCTTCACTCTCTCTCTCTCCTGCTGTGCCAGGTGAGGACATTGCCTGCTTCCCTTTCACCTTCTACCATGACTGTAAGTTTCCTGAGGCTTCCCCAGCCATGTTTCCTGTACAGCCTGAAGAACTGTGAGTAGATTAAACCTATTTTTTCATAAATTACCTAGTCTCAGGTAGTTTTTTATAGCAATGCGAGAATGAACTAATACAATCAGGATGAATCAGAGTAGATAGGAATCTGGAGGAGCAAATAAAAGGCATTCAGCCCAATGCAGAAAATACTGCAGATAAAGGCATACTCAGGTATAAATTCCTAATGTTTTACTTTATTTATTGAGACAATTGTAGGATTTGAATACTGATTATTTTATAATTTTCTGGCTCTAATTTTGACTGTTCTTATTCACACACACACACACACACACATATATATATATGTATGTGTGTATATGTACATAGTATGTGACAAATCATATTTTCAGAAAAGAGAAAAATGAAAAAAAATTATTTATTAAAATCTGGTTTTTTTTTCAGGCACAGTAGCATGTTGTATAGTCTTGAAATTTAAAAAAGTTGTGGAAACATAAACTGGGTTTAAATTTTTGTCAGCTACTAGGTGTGAATTTTATACAAATTTACTGTAAACCAAGTTATCAATTTTTATCTCAAAGACTTGTTAGTATAACCGAGTACCCCCATTTTTTAAGAAAATATTTTAATTTTTTTTCCCTCTTCTGTTCTCTTTACTCCTTCTCCCCACTTCCTAGTTAGCTCTTTAGAAATGAAATTATAGATAGCCTTTTACCTCCTCTTCACCAGGCACTCCCTACAAGGCAAGTTCATCTATGTGCTTAGCACCTCCAGAGCTAAACTCTTACCCACCAGAAGGTTGCCTTGAGAGATAACAGTGAATTTACAACCCAAAGTATGCCTGGCTATAGTTTTTGCCCACCTTTAAAACCTGATTTTGCCCATGAAGACACTGACCCAACTGTCAAGTAGGTAAGGCACCCAAGCTAGTACGAGGACGCTTCACTTGCACATTTTGTCCCCTGACTTTTAAAAGTGCCTGCTTTCTACTCCAAAAGCAAAGTGGTACCCTTAAGGCAGAAAGCCTGCACTTCTTCCCCTAGGCCAGCTTTAGAATAAAGTCATTTTCTTTATACCAAACCTTGCTCTTGTCAATTGAACTCTGCAAGTGGTGAGTGACTGAACATGCCTTTTGGTTACATTAAAAAGAGCTGATGAGAAAATATATTTATACTCATTGTTTCAATATTTGTATTGAGGCCACTGACACTACCTTAGAGAGAAGAAGCTCTTCATCTTTCATGCATGAATTATATGTGAAAATGACCCTTTTTAGGAGCAGTGCATTAACCCATGCTACTTACAGTCTGAAATTCTTGTCTCACCTGTGTCAACTTTGATCACCATTTCAACAAGCCCTGAGGAAAGATGTTTGACCTAAAAGTTGATGGTTTTCTCTGTAGTATATGAAAATTCGTTTTCCTGGGTTTGGTCTTAATTGCAGTTGTTGGTAGAACATTAAACCACTCCCTGGGATTACATGATTACCTAGCACATTAGCTATCACAGCAATTCTAGGAGCTGATTTGCATTATCCCCAGATGCTTATAAAAGGGCAGAATATGTTCCAGGGTCAGGCAGCTGGTACATCAGATTTGCCTGATAACAAACCTGGGTCCGCTGTATTTGATCATGCTAGTAGATTTTTTAAAGTAACTAAATGAAAACAAAAACAGAAACAAAACCCAAGCATCATAATGAAATAGTACTTCTAACACAAACTTGGGGTTTTAATACAATCATCTTATTTACAAATGCCCAACTCAACTCAATAACATAGGATATAAAAGACTACGTACAATATTAAAGTTAGCATGGCAAATAAATGACATGATTGTTTTTTAAATTTTAATTAATATAAGCAAATAACTATACTAACATTCTACACCAATGCTCAAAACAGTTATTCATCACATCAATTGTCAAGTATTCAAGAATAAATTATTTATTGATTAACTTAGTTATAGTACTACTGATAAGAATATCTGATAGAGATTGACATTTTATTTGGTGGAGCCTATACCAGGTGATTATAGTCATCCTTTCCTTTAATATACATGAAAACCATGAAAGTTAGATATTATCATTCTCATTCCGCATACATGAAAACTGAATCATAAAGAGATTAAGTACATCCTCCTGATAGCCCAGTTGGAAAGAGGGAGTCAAGATCTAAACATAAGCTCTCAGACTCTCAATCTCTTACTTTTTAACCCCACTCCATCATGGTGTCAAACCATTTACTTTCTTGGTTTTATCATTGTATTGCATTGCTCTACTTTTGTTCACGTCCTTACTGTTTTTGTGTTTTTTTTTATGTTTTGGCTGTCTCCCTCATAATGACTGCTTTCACTACCAAGGCAATTCTGCCAGGAGATTCCTCCATTACTCCTCAACATTCCCCTGAAGTTGATGTTTGAGGGGACATTAAACCTTCTGGATTTGGTTGTAGAATAGGCACAGGTGAGTTACCACAGGAACCTTTTCTACTACTCTCCTCTCTTGACTTTTATTATTCTCCTCTTTTTAAAAAATATAATTAATTAGTATTAATTATTTGATTCATTTTCAGGAGTTAAATTACTTTCTTTATACTCAAATGCATTTATTTATTCTTTTCTCTATTGGCTATCTCCCTTAATGGATTTGAAAATGATTTCAGTTCAAATCTCAGTCTATTATTTACCAGACGTATGAACTTTCTGATGTTATTTTTTTTCTGTGTCTAAGTTTTTCCATGGAAGACAAAACAAAATAATAATGCCTACCTCTATCAGTCTGGATCCAGGACGCCCTATTTCTTGTCATTTTGGGATGGATACAGAGGAAATGTAATTTTGGATGACAGGAAAGAAAAGGTTCTAGTAGATCGTACTTAAAAAAAAAAAAAAAAAAAAAAAAAAAAAAAAACTATCATATATTTGCCAGGCGCAGTGGCTCACGCCTGTAATCCCAGCACTTTGGGAGGCCGAGGCGGGCGGATCACGAGGTCAGGAGATCGAGACCATACTGGGTAACACGGTGAAACCCCGTCTCTACTAAAACTAAAAAAAAAAAAAAAAAAAAAAAATCAGCCGGGCGTGGTGTCGGGCGCCTGTAGTCCTGTAGTCCCAGCTACTCGAGGGGCTGAGGCAGGAGAATGGAGTGAACTCGGGAGGCTGAGCTTGCAGTGAGCCGAGATCGCACCACTGCACTCCAGCCTGGGTGACAGAGCGAGACTCCCTCTAAAAAACAAAAAAAAAACTACGATATATTTATTTTCATGAGTTCAAAGTGATTTTGTGATTATCTTTGACTGTTAAGTTCCTCAGGTAAACATACAGCTGGATATCTAACTGGGAAAATAAATGAAGTGTTTGTCACGTAAAGGCCTGAGACAGAATCATTTTTATTTGATTCAGGTAAGTAGTACCAAGGCTAATTTTCTTTTTTTTTTTTTTTAGTGACAATCTTGAAATTTACTTCCAGGTTCAGAGATAATCTACATGATCAAAATGAACAAAACTATCTCTTTTACCTTTGTTCAGAATCTCAATCTATGGCTTTCTCATTTTCTCAAAGCATGTTGTAAATAAAATAGAGCTTCTCCTGCAGTTATTAATCAGTTGGTTTTTGTGTAAACAATTCCACAAACAAATTCACTCAGCCCTATTTAATAACTTAAGAATTGTTTTTGTATGCTAAAAATCCAAATAAATATTAATATAATTCTATAATTACGAATTTATAAACAAACTGAAAATTCTAAAATTGCAGTGTGCTTTATAAACTGACCACAAGAAAGGACTAAGAATAATTGAAAAAAATACTGATGCTTGTGCCTATGTAAAAGTAAAGAAAGTAAACAAATCATTAAATTGCTTTGCTAGAGGAGTGAAATGTAAATCCACGGAGATGGTATTTTTATCACTACAAAGAGACATTGTTTGGATTTCACCAAACAATGTCTTTCAGCAAAACTTTTTTCTCTCAGCAAAACTGTTCACCACAGACCAGTAATTACCCTTGAGGGCCTTTGGTGAGAATTGAATTTTCATTCAATAAGGTTGACACTGGGTCTGGAGGGTAAGGGAGTAAAGCTAGCTGTTTGTAAATTAAATTATGAGGATAAAATAAAGATGCTAGGCTTGTCACTCTGTCAGTTAAATGGGATATTATTGAAGCTTTGGATAGGTAGTGACAAAAACAGCTCTTTATCCTTCCCCTTTTGTCTTGTTGAATTTATGGACGTAAAGATGTAAAAAAATCTTAAATTTGAGCTTAGATTTCTTTTTCTAGCAACAAAACAGTTTGAGTATATTCACCAACAGGTATCATCTTTATTAATAGAAATATGTATTGTAAAAGCATTACATAATATATAATCCAATTAATTCCTTGAAATATTCAATATGCATGTCTTATATAATGTAAGAGGGAGAACATAGCTTATTATTTGACCATATTATTTATGTACACCTAATTTAATAAAATGAGTAATTCCATTTATATACATGAATATATATGTGTGATATGTATATATTTTGTGTGTATATATATTAATGTGTGTATAAATACATAGACTCTTGGGCAAAACAACACACGCAATAGAACCAAAAAATATAATTTTCTTCTGTTGTCAATTGACATTTAAATTGACAATAGACATTTGTCCAGAGAGTATGTTAGTAAATATAACTTTGATCCATGTAGTCACTAATGGCAAACAGACTAAAGCGTATTTTCATTGAAATGACCATTCGTAGATTGAGTTAGAAAATTCATTGCTGGTGCTGTTCATTTTTTGGCATGAGTTAGATTAGCTTAATGCATGTTAGAGAACTTCTGAGCTCTGTACTAAAGTTATATCATATGGACCTTCTGGGTAAATTATTTAATGGACTACTGGAAGAAAGCACATAATTTGTGCCTATTTAAGTACATAAGCCTAACCGAGTGGGTCAGAATTTGAATGTAGTATATTTTAATGCGTATGTTCAGGTAATTAAACTGTAACTTGATTTTTTTTTCCTTTGGTAGTCTTGTGTGAAAGAATGAAATAGACACATGCCTTATATGTTCAAAATTTAATGCCTCTTGAGGAAATTATGAAGGTAAACAGAAGAGATCCTCCACCACCTTTATCTCCTCGCTTTATCTACTCCCCTGTCTGCAGGAATGCCAAGATGCTCTGTCCACCTTGGCATTGTGACTGATAACTTCAGAGGCTCCTGTCTAATACCAGTCCCACCTTATTCCTATCCATTAGGACTCATTCTTTCCTTCAGGCCCAACGAGTTATTCTTGAAATTATTCCTTTTCTCTTCTGTGTCATGCTATTATCCTTTTGATTGAAGCATTCAATCTGCTTGTCTATGGCTTTTATTCTATATGACAAACAAAACAAATACACCAAAGAACAACAATAGCAACAACCACCTCTGTAACAACACTTTTTTTTTCCAGCTTTTGCACAATTTCTTTGCCCTTCTTTAGAGCAAACCCTCTTGAGAACATTATTTTTACTTGCTGCTTTTTCTCTCAATCTTTTAAACTCACTCTCATCTGATTTTCACTCTGTGGTATGCTGATAAATATTTTAACAACCAGCTTTCTGCAGAACAAAGCTCTAATCTGAAATGTTTTCTGAGATTCACAGTATAAATACCTACTCCCACTAGAGTAAATTTTAAGATATCAGGGCTCATTTCAAGCTACTCGATGTGGTGTTTGAAAGAGATATGGCTTCTTTGAAGTGTTGTGCTTTATTTTCTTTTTTCGTAAGAGCCAGTTCAAACATTCCAATCTACACCTGACCACCTTGCTAAAACTGTTCTCTTAAATTTACTCAAGTGGGGTTTTGAACCCCCGATGCCTTCACCACCAAAACAGCTGTACTAAGATTACTAATGATCTCAAGTTGCTAAATCCAATATTCATTGTCAGCATCTTCTTGTTCCATCTAACAGCAGCATTTTACACAATTAAATCCATGATACTCCTTTAAATACTTTCTTCAATTGGATTCAGGACTCTTTACTTCTCTTACCATCTCCCTACCTTATTAGCTGTTTTTTTCTCTGACTTTATTGCTGGATTCTCTTTTTAAAAACCTTTTAGTATTGGAGTGACCCACTACTAGGATTTGATATATCAAGACTATCTACATCCTTTAGTAATCTCAGCTAGTCTTCTGGCTTTATATACCATTCCCAGAACAACAACGCCTCAATACATAGGTGTATGCATATTAGGAAACACTGTTTCTATATGTAGTCGGGGAATGTGCCCTGACTGCAAAATCCTATATGCAACTGCTTACTGGACAGCTGTTGAAAGAAATATAATTAAAAACAAAATCTCCCACCAGCCCCCAAAACCTCTCCACAAAGATAAGAGAGAAAAAATTATTATTATTGAATAACTATTAAACCAGAATGTGATAAGCATCAGGGGTAATCTAAGAAGTTGCAAAGACTATAAGAAATCTCATCCTTTATACAGCCAAGCAGATGCAACCCATTACATATAAGTTCTCAAGATTAAAAAATAATAATAATTAGTTCTCAAGTAAGAGGACTTGACAGCACCATTAGTCACAATTCATCCTAATATTGCTTGGTGATTGGCTGATTATCTGTGTTAGCTAATTGACATTATCCAAAGGAATAATAAACTTCTATCTCTATGACAAGACGTACTTTTGCAACTTGGAAAATGAGGTCCTCTGAAGTGAGGTATCAGGGGAACCTGCCCCCGATTTCACATAGGTTCTTTTCTATTTTCCCTAAGCATCAGCTGGTTTGAGAAATAAAGGGACAGAGTACAAAAGAGAGAAATTTTAAAGCTGGGCATCCGGGGGAGACATCACATGTCAGTAGGTTCCGTGATGTCCCACAAGCCGTAAAACCAGCAAGTTTTTATTAGTGATTTTCAAAAGGGGAGGAAGCCTATGAATAGGGTGTGGGTCACAGAGATCACGTGCTTCACAAGGTAATAGAATATCACAAGGCAAATGGAGGCAGAGCGAGATCACAGGACCACAGTACCTGGGCAAAATTAAAATTGCTAATGAAGTTTTGGGCACCATTGTCATTGATAACATTTTATCAGGAGACAGGGTTTGAGCAGACAACCGGTCTGACCAAAAATTTATTAGGCGGGAATTTCCTCTTCCTAATAAGCCTGGGAGCACTACCAGAGACTGGGGCTTATTTCATCCCTACAGCTCGACCATAAAAGACGGCTGCACCCAAGGGGGCCCTTTTAGAGGCCTACCCTCAAGGACACATTCTCTTTCTCAGGGATGTTCCTTGCTGAGAAAAAGAATTCAGTCATATTTCTCCCATTTGCTTTTGAAAGAAGAGAAATATGACTCTGTTCCACCCAGCTCACCAGCAGTCAGAGTTTAAGGTTATCTCTCTTGTTCCCTGAACATTGCTGTTATCCTGTTCTTTTTTCAAGGTGCCCAGATTTCATATTATTCTAACAAATATGCTCTACAAATAATTTGTGCAGTTAACGCAATCATCACAGGGTCCTGAGGCGACATACATCCTCAGCTTACGAAAATGACGGGATGAAGAGATTAAAGACAGGCATAGGAAATCACAAGGGTATTGATTGGGGAAATGATAAGTGTCCATGAAATCTTCATAATTTATGTTCAGAGATTGCAGTAAAGACAGGCATAAGAAATTATAAAAGTATTAATTTGGGTATCTAATAAATGTCCATGAAATCTTCACAATTTATGTTCTTCCATCATGGCTTCAGCTGGTCCCTCCATTTGGGGTCCCTGACTTCCTGCAACAGTGAGGTCCCTAGGATCCCACAGAAGGTAGGAGATAATGGTGCTATTCTCCTTGATTATTACATTTCAAGGAGATGGTTCCTAAGTCCTTGAGAAAAGCAACCTTGGGTCATGTAGGTGGAAGAGGATTCTTTAGCTTTTACAAAGACCTACATACATTTCAAATAGTGAAAGAACTTAAGTTTTTAAAGTAATGGCTCTATGAAAAGGGAGGGACAGTCTTTTTCCTTACTATCAACAGGGATAATTAGTTTCTTATTTGTAGTTTGTACTTGCCCCTGCAATCTCTTCTTTGTGTTATTATAAAATAGTAACACTATAATGTTTCTAATTATTTTTATTGTTATTTCTACCCTTTTGGGGGGGAAGTTGCAGCTGTCTAAAATCCAAGCCCATAGTAAAAACAAAGCAAATCAATAATTAGTATCATGATAGAATAATAGAATTACTAAATTTTTTAAAAGTAAAATACATGATTTGAGTTTAAGAAATAGCCTTTGAATATATTATACCACAGGTTAAAACTTAAATAATACTCATCATTAGTAATTCACAGAGATTTCTCCAAGTCATAGATGAATTTTATGAATTTGTATAGTGTCTTTATGGCTTCCATTTTCAGATGTTTAAGTATAATTTGATAGTTGCTTATGAAGACTTACCCAATCCCAGCCTCAGGTGTCATTTAGCACTGAAGCCTTAAAATCTATTTTTTTTATTATAAATGTTACAATAAAAGAAAGCCATGTCTTACTGATTGAAAAAAAAAATCCCAGCCTTTAGCTGGGAGCACAGATCAAAGTAAGTTCTCATTAGAAATCAAATATGATCCTTCACAATTTGTTTATTTACAAATCTGTATTGTTTATTTAATTCTTTTTTTGAATTTATTTTTCTTAATTTGACAAAATTATATGTATCTATTACGTACAATATGTTGCCTTGAAACACATATACGTTGTGGAATGCTTAAAAGTAGCTGCTTAATATATGCATCACTACACATTTTTCTCACTTTTTGGAGAGAACATTTAACACCCACTTTTCTAGCATTTCTGGAGCACAGTACAGATTAAGTATCCCTTATCCAAAATGCTTGGGATCAGAAGTATTTTGGATTTTAATTTTGGAGGAATTTTTGGAATATTTGTATTATATATTTACCACTTTTGCATTCCTAGTCCAAAAATCCGAAATCCAAAATTCTCCAAAGAGCATTTCCCTTAAGAGTCATGTTGATGTTCAAAAAGTTGTGAAGTTTGGATCATTTTCCAGATACAGATACTCAACCTGTGTTGTTACAGAGGTGGTTGTTGCTATTGCTGTTCTTTGGTGTATTTGTTTTGTTTGTCAAATAGAAGAAATAAAAGGCATAGACAAGCAGATTGAATGGGGATAATTGAAGGAGAGTCCTATTTCTCAATATTTCTTTGCCTTATCTGTCTTAGTCTGTTTCCTGTTGCTATAACAGAATACCACAGACTAGGTAATTTATAAAGAACAGAAGTTTATTCAGCTCACATTTGTGAAAAATGCAATGTTTGACCATGGTGTCATTATCGGTTGAAGGCCATCATGCTATGTTATTCCATTGCAAAAGAGTGAACAGACAACCAATTGTGTGTGAAAAGAAAGTATGAGGGACCAACTTTGCTTTTAGAATAATGATATAATAATCTGCAATTGAGATAAATAATCCTCTTTCATGACAACATTAATTCATCAATGAGGGATCTGTCTTTGTAAATCAATAAATTAGGCTGCACATCCTAACACTGTTCCATTAAATATTAAGTTTTCAGCACATGAAATTTTGAGGGACACATTCAAACCATACGACTTTCTACATGTTCACTTTAAAGTTTTTTTTTCTTGCAAGACCCAGTAAATTCATCCTACATTTCAGTCAGTCCCATAAGTTCCATCATACTACATGACAATTTAGTCTATTTAGCCATCGTTCTATCTTCCCAAATAATTGTTCTCCGATGTGGAAATCAAAGACACCAGAGTCATTATCTAGTATTAGAGCCTTATAATGAGACCTCATTTAAAGGTACAGATTGAACTTCCAGTGTTTAATGTAAATGGCTCTCATTGTTTTAAGTCTTGAAAACAAACCCAATGCATTAGTCTGTTCTTGCATTGCTATAAAATACCTGAGACTAGGTAATTTATAAAGAAAAGAGGTTTAACTGGTTCACAGTTCCATAGGCTGTACAGAAAGCATGATGCTGGCATCTGCTCAGTTTCTGGGGAGGCCTTAGGAAACTTACAATCATGATGGAAGACAAAGGAGAAACCAGCCCTTCACATGATCAGAGAAGGAGGAGAGAGAGAGGTGGGAGCACCTACACATTTTTAAACAACCAGATCTCATGAGAACTTACTATTGTGACTCCACCTCCAAGGGGGATGGTACTACATTGTTCATGAGAAACCTCCCCCATGATCCAATCACCTTCCACAATGCCCCACCTTCTACATTGGGGATTACAATTCCACATGAGGTTTGGGATGAGACACAGATCCAAACCATATCACTCGCCCTATAGCTTTTTTGGTTTGTTTTTTGTTTTGCTTGCTTGCTTTGCATTGGATCTAAAACAATGGTTACCCAGTTTAACAGTGAACTTGACCTCTCTGAATAACAGAATTTCATCTTTGTGTATTTCTCTATATGGAACTGGAGAGAACTTGCTTCTTAATGTTTATCAGGTGACATTAAATCTGCCTTTTACAGTATCTACTCTGAGCTATCAGATTTTAATTTGTCTATTAATTAGATATTTTCTTTTCCTACATCTTCCTTCAAAAAAAATTTTTGTGTCAAATTTAGAGCTGAAGTACCTGGATGAATATTAATTACTTTTACTTTATTATCAAAAAATTGCTAATGAAGATGATTCACTTTCCTTAATCAATAGTCAGATTGCTGAATTTATAAATGTTCTGATTTAAATATGTTCTCCAAAGTGTATGTGTTAGAAACTTAATTGCCACCATAAAAATGTGAGGAGGTGGGACCTTTTGAGGTAATGAAGATTAGAAAAGGTCATCAGTGTAGCAGCTCCATGTTGGCACAAATGACTTTATAAAAAAAGAGAGAGAGTCCTAAACTGACATTCATGTTCTTGATCCTCTCAATCAATAATGTCTTCTTCCATATTTTGACGCAGCAAAAAAGTCCTCATCAGATGTCAGTGCTATGCTCTTGGACTTCCCAGACTCCAGGATTGTAAGAAATAAATGTCTTTTATTTTATAAATTACCCAATCTAGAGTATATTGTTAATGTAACAAAAAAAAAAAGTCTAAGACAATAAGCCCAGACCGTGTTTATAATGGGAGTGCAGTTTATAGCTGACCAGAAATGAGATTATGGGATTATTACTGGGATACAGAAAGGAGTAATGTAACAAATGTCATTTATTTTCTAATAATTTGTGATTCTTAAACTAATTTAAATAACTCTACTGTAAATAGGACAGCAAAGTAGTCTATGAGAATAGTAATAGGGTTGCTGGAATACATCCTTTCAGTTAAGTTTGATACCAATACCAGTTACCATAGGGAACTTAAATGTTAAATACTTTTGGGGAACTGGGAACTATAGTCCAGTACTCCTGAGAAGCTTGCTTCCCATGGGAAGCCCAAATCTAGCTGTCTTGCTGTCTTGTTTTTTGTTGTGTGTGTGTGTGTGTGTGTGTGTGTGTGTGTGTGTGATCAGCAACACTTTGAAGAATGTCTTCTAGTGTAGTGACAACTAGTCTTTCCTGCAGAACACACTTATGTAGATGACATCTCCTGGGCAACCAATGTGGCAGACTTCTTACAGCTTGTTGTCTCATGTGCTTATGAATTATCTTAGGGTTTCTATGGGGAAAAAGAAGCCATTCCAAGTATTTAACAGGATTATTAATAGATTCAGTTAAACTGGGCACAATACATGGTCTCAGTCCCAAACCCATAGGCTGTCCACACATAAACTTAAAAGGAAAGATTTTTGTTTCTCTGCGGGTATCAGTCCATTTTTCTAACAAGGCTAGTGGTGAAGTTCTAGGCCATCTTAACAGTGTTATATAATATTAGCCAGTGACATTTTTAGTAGGCTTTATTTATTAGAGCGGTTTTAAGTTCAGCAAAATTAAGTGGAAAGTACAGAGAGTTTTCATGTACCCACCCCTTTCATGTACAGCTTCTTTCTGGTCAACATCCCACATTACTGTGGCACATTTGTTACAATCTATAAACCTACATTGATATATCATCGGCACCTCAATTCTATAGTTTACATTAGAGTTTGCTCTTGGTGTTGTACATTCTATGGATTTTGACAAATGTATAATAACATTTGAATAGAAATTCATCATTGCAGTATCACACAAAATAGTTTTATTGCTCTAAAAATTCCTTTTGCTCCATGTACTTACTCATCCCTCCTGCTTACCCCAGTGAACCACTGATATTCTTGCTGATTCATAGTTTTGCCTTTTCCAGAATGTCATATTGTTGGAATCATATGGTGTGATGCTTTTATAGATCAATTTCATTCACTTAGTAATATGCATTTAAATTTGTTCCATGTCTTCACATCTTGTTAGCTCATTTATTTTTAGTGCTGAATAATACTTGATAATCTGGATGTACCACAGTTTATTCTTAAACTAACTGAAGGACCTCTTGGTTGCTTCCAAGTTTTGGCAATTGTGAATAAAGCTACTATAAACATTCATATACAGGTTTTTTTTGTGTGAACATGTTTTTGACTTATCTGAGTAGTACTAAAGAGCATGTGATCAGTGGATCAGATGGTAAGAGTATGTTAATATTTTTTAAAACTATCAAGCTATCTGCCAAAGTAACAGTACCATTTGCATTCCTGCTAGCAAAGAAGAGAGAACCAGTTGCTGTACATCCTTGCTAGCATTTGGTATTATTAATGTTACGGATTTGGGCCATTCTAATATGCATGTAGTGGTGTTTCATTGGCATCTTAATTTGTAGTTCTCTAAAGACATATGATGTGCAACATCTTTTCATATGCTTATTTCCACTAGTATATCTCTTTTGGTGAGGTGTCTGTTTAGGTCTTTGGCTCACTTTTTAAGAGTTGCTCATTTTTTATCTTTGACTTTTAAGAGTTATATATATATATATATATATATATATATATATATATATATACACATATATATATATATACATATATATATATATATATATACACATATATATATATATACATATGTATATATATATATATACATATATATATATATATATATACACATATATATATATATACATATATATATATATATATATTGGATAGCCATCCTCCATTAGATATAGCTTTGAAAAATATTTTTGCCCAGTCTGTAGCTTGTCATCTCATACTCTTGACAGTACCTTTTGTGTACCAAGTTATATGATAATAATTATTCACAATTTTAACAAAATTCAGCTTCTCATTTATTTCACTGATCGTGGCTTTGGTCTTAAATCTAATAAGTCACTTCACACCCAAGGCCATCCAGATTTACTTCTGTGTTATTTTCTAGGAGTTTTATAATTTTATATTTACATTTAGGTCTATGATCTTTGTTAATTTTCGTGAAAAGTGTTAAGGTTTCTGTCTAGATGCATTTCCTAAAATGGATGTCCAGTTGTCTAGCATCGTTTGTTGAAAATACTATTTTTTCCTAGCCAATCAATTTTTAAGAGTTTGATTCACTGCTTTAATTGTCCAGAAGGCTGAAATTTATAGCAATTTGCAAATTTTTGCAAACTTATTATAAAACGGTAGGAATTAAATGACTTCCTCTGCTCTAGTCAGTGTGTTCTGGTATCCCAAAATTATTAATTATGTTTATTAAGAGAACATTTATTCCTGCTGAAAATTGTCTTTTGGCTGGGCATGGTGGCTCACACCTATAATCCCAGCACTTTGGGAGGCTGAGGTGGGTGGATCACCTGAGGTTGGGAGTCTGAGGCCAGCCTGGCCAACATGGTGAAACCCCGTCTCTACTAAAAAAAAAAAAAAAAAAAAAAAAAAAAATTGGCCTGGCATGGTGGCGCATGCCTATAGTCCCAGCTACTAGGGAGGCTGAGGCAGAAGAATTGCTTGAACCCGGGAGGCAGAGTTTGCAGTGGGCCAAGATCGCACCATTGCACTCCAGCCTGGGTGACAGAGCAAGGCTCTGTCTCAAAAAAAAAAAAAAAAAAAAAGAAAGAAGAAAGAAAGAAAACTATCTTTAAAAGAGAGCAAGACTTTATATCATCTAGAAATCACACACAATACAATTGGATAATTTAGCTCTATGAAAACAAATTTAGCTCTATGTTACCCAAAATTGGATAACATTAGCTCTATAAAACCCAACTGTCAAACAGCTTCCATCAGGTAACATTGGTCAGTGAGAATTTCCTGTGGTTATCCTAGGAATGGCCTGCAAAAAAATACTGCTGACAAATAGCATATCTTTTTAATATATCTTGAATAATTTTTATTATTTTTGGTAGGCATAGTAAGAGCTTATTGTTCTTAAAATCCTTCTTTTATTCAGTTGATTTGTTGATGATAAAATACTAGTGAAGTAAATAGAGATGAAGGTATGGGAAATATTTTTAGGTAATTCCCATAGTCTGGTCAGTTGTTTGTTTGTTTGTTTTTTACCATAGCCTCCTGATTAGCAGGAACTACCAGGCTCATGCCACCAACCTGACTAATTTTTTCAATTTTTTTTGTAGAGACGGGGTCTCGTCATGTTGCCCAGGCTGGTCTTGAAGTCCTGGGCTCAAGCTATCCTCCTGTCTCAGCCTCCCAAAGTGCTGGAATTACAGGTGTGAGCCACTGCGCCAGGCCTCTAGTCAAATTATTGAAGCTCCTTTTATAATCAATTTTTTCTTTTTATTTTGTGAAGCATTTTTTAATGGACAAAAGTGTATTATTAGATTAAATAGGGAGCTTCTAAATTCTACCATATTTCAACAGAAGCTTTTGCAGGTCTATCCCAAAAAATTATTACCTTTAGAAACTTTATCCTTCTGCCCTATGTGAGCTCTCCAATTAATTGCTGATATCTGAGAAGGCGATTGTAAAACCGCTGACAATTCAACTATCACTTTTTCAGGAAATATCTTAGTTATCATTGAAGTAAAAAAAGTCATATTAAAAATGTGGTTCTGTTGCATGACAGACACTATATGTGTGTGTGTGTGTGTGTGTGTGTGTATATAAAATCCAGAACCAAGAATTACAACTCTAGTAACTGCTATTCACTCATCTTTTTGTGTAGACTTAATTCCAGACAAAACATATAATTTATTTATTTTTATCAAATATGTATTTTTATTAGAAGTATGGGGATATTATAGGGTAAGCACTGGCTTTATAAATTATTCTTTGGTTTCATAAGTTTTTATAACCACTTTATTCTCTTTAAGCTCTCAGCAAAAGATATTGTTTTACATATGGCCATATATTATTCTTCTGCTATACTGTTTTCATTTGTTATATATCTCTAATTAAGCCAGTATGAATATTCCCTACATCAAAGCAACGCATCAGTGTGATTCAGTTGGGGTACTGAAGAGTATGAGACGGCTACTTTCTTCAATAACCCTTTTCTATCAGAAGTCAAATGCATAGTGATCAAATCAGCTGCCATTTTCCAAAGGAGCTCCAGAACAACTCCATCTGGAGTAGAGAATATGGTAGACTTTAAATTTCACAGCAGGTCTTTTTCAGTTGATTTGTGAAAGAATTAGGAGAACGTAAGAACACCAGTTCTTCAGTCAGATACTCTGTGTGAGAACTGCAGAGGAAAAGGAATAAGCCAAAGGCTGACCCAAAATACCAACAATCTGTGTTGGTCTATTACCAAACAAAAAGGAAGAAAATTCTGAGAAAATTGCAAAATATATAACATCAGTATTTATCTGAAAGAGTAATGCTAGATTAGCCTGAGGAAAAGTTATTGACACATATGGTTCACCCGTTCCCACCTATGACATTCCCTCAACTTGTCCATTTTGACCCATTTTCTAGCTAAAAGTTTTGTCTTTCTAGGAATTTCTAATTATTTTATGCCTGAAAATATCGGATCTTCCATAGTCTCTTTCTACAATCCCTCTTTAAACATCCTGGCTTCTTGCAATAGTGGCATTCAGTTTTTCTTTCTTCTGTATTCCTTTTATAGGTTGGATACAGTAGGAATTATTCTCTTGAGTAAAATTTTAACTTAACAGCCGAACATAGCAGTCTTTATTTTTTATTTTTTTTAAATTTTCTTTAGCTTGTTCCAAAACTGAGTAGATAAATATAATATTTGAGTAACAGTTTGTCCTGGCCATCCTAGTACCTATTCCTTAGAATGCATGTTCTGGGATGTGGACAGTTGGCAAGAGAGCTAACACAAAATTCTAGTTGCTGAGACTAGAATGTGATTTCAACTTGTGCTCCCGTCTGAGCCAGTGAATTGTGAGAAAACCTAAACACACTGGGGGTGGCTATCAATGAGGCGCTCCCATGCTGTTTGGGTATACCACTGCAACTTCTCCTAGCTTTTCTTTAGTGGAAAGGCTTCAAGTATGTCCATTAGCAACCCTTCTCAATGGGTCTCTCCATGCATCTCTAATATTCATAGTTTTTCTATACTTATGGGAATAAACACTTCCCTTTTCCCTAAGTCAGTTTAAGGCAAGGAGGGATACAGATAAACAGCAAAAGTAGAGGGAGCAAGGATACCTGAGAAAAAAGGAGGAGGATTGTCCAAAAAGGGAAATGACTTTCATTCTCACATTTTCTGTTCCACTTTTTGAAATATTTTATTTTGGCTATCCAAATTATTTTTTTTATTAGAATGACAGTCATTCCATAAATACTAGTAATACATTTGCTTGGGATAAGGCTTGTCTCAGGGCCCTGGCAAATACATAAATTTATTCAAATCCAAAGAACCATTCTTAGGCCATTGCAAGACCAGATTCTCATATATCTATTCCAAATGCAACAGAGAGGAGATAATACCCTTTAAGGGGAAGATCTGAAGGCAAAATTCAGACCCCACAATTCAAAATTTAGACCCCGCAATTCAAAAGTAAAATTTGAATTGGAGAGGGTGGTCCATTCAGCTAATATTCCAAAAGAGTAGATATCTAAAAATGAAACTTTTTATAATCCAGGGCCTTTTACCTGACTGTTGCATAGCCACAGACCTTCAACTGGTCTACTCAATTCAGGCACTGTTCAACAACCTGTATTTCTTTCTGGAATTGTTGCATTTCCATAATGATAAAAAGAGAAAGAAAACAGTTTTATTATTGAATAATCATTAAGCCACAATGTGATGTACACCACAGGCAATCCACTTAGAGATCTCAAAAACAGAAAGGAATTACATCCTTTTGTCTAGCCAAGAAGATACAACCCATTACATACATGCTCTCACGGTAAACAATAACTAGTGCTCAAGTAAGAGGACTTAAATGCACCATTTGTCATACATAGTTTATACTAAGTTCACTTGGCAATTGGGTTGAGCATCCATGTTAGCTAATTCACTTTATCTGAAAAAAAAAAATTTATCTTTATGGTAAGAAGTAGTTTTAAAACTTGGAGTGAAAAGTCCTCTGAATTTAGGCCCCTACACTCTCACACATAGTAGAAGACAGGGGCACTATATTCCTTGGTGATTATACTTCAAAAAGATGGTTCCTGGGTCCTTAGGAAAGGCAATCTTGAGTCCTGAAGTTGGCAAGAGACTTATTTAACTTTTAAAACAGTTTAATATACATTTTACAGAAAGAGAGAATGTACAGGTTTCCTGAGGCAAGTACTCCAAGAGAATTTTTTTTTTTTAGTTTCAACAGGAAGGATTAAGCCTCTTATTTTTAATGTTTGTTTTCCGTTACAAAACGCAAATCTAATCTGTTCAAAACTGAAATCCTCATCCTCTCCTTAAAATCTATACAGCCACAGTTTTCCCAAATTCAGTTAATGGCAATTCCATTTTTCTCCCAAATTTAAAACACCTAAATCATTTTCTGTCTTTCTTCCTCAATAGACTTTACTTTCAAAAGATACCCAGAATCTGACCACTTATTATTACCTCCACTGATAACACTGGACTAAGCCACTTTCATTCTCGTTGAAATATTTTATCTTCTTACTGTTTCCAATCTTAGTTCCAACTTTGGCCCACTCCCCCAAAGTGCAGCTACATTCTACTTTTAGTGTGGCAGCCAGGCTAATTCATTTAAAATAAAAATCAAATCATTTTTCTTCTAGTCAAAGTGCTGCAACAGCTTACCAAAATCATCCAAGTAAGACACTAGGCACTTAAAATGATCCCTGAAATTCTGTATTATCTGCTTCTTCATACTATTATCTTTCTAACTTTATTGCATAGTTATCCTCATCATTCATTCTGCTGTAGACACAGGCTAACATCCTTGCTGTTACTTTTATATGCCAATCACTCCTGAGCATTATGGGTGTTCACTGCTTTTACTTCTGCCTGGAATGGAATGTTCACCTCCCAAGTATCTGCATTTCTTTATCACCTTCTTTAGTTCTTTCCTCAAATGCTACTTTTCAGTGAGAACTTCTCTGGCAACTCTGTTTAAAAATAAAAGCCCCGTCCACTTCTTATCTCTTCCATAACTGTTTTTCTGATTTTTATTTTCTTCTTGTATAATTTATCACAATTTCTTATTTTTTTCTCCTCACCCATAAAAATAAATTTTCCCAGTGCAGAAAATGTTGCCTGTTTCAGAAACCATATTTGCAACACCAAGAATGCTGCCAAGAATACAGTGGCATTCAATATATGATTATTGAGTAAATTAATGAGTGACTGATAGTAGTTATTGTTTATTGTGCATAGTTTCTGTATTATTTATATGTTATTTTATTTTTATTTTAATAGTAACACTGTATAATGGTTTAAATACAATATTTTTCTAACCATTGTTCCTAATTTCCTTCAATAAAAATTAAGAAATCATAAGAGTGGACTAATTTGGTGTCTAAACATATTCTATTTCAGAGCCCACAGAAATTTATCTAACACCCTTAACCTTGGATAAACTCTCTAGGCTCCATAAGTTCTACCCTCTCCATGAAATTTTTCTGAGTTGTCTTTCTCCATGTTCCACCCAAGCAAAGTTAGTCAATTCAGTCCTTTGTGCTCCTACAGCATTTTGAGATACATCTATAATTGCACTGATTAACTTACATTATCATTATGAGCATTTTTGCCGCATTAATATGCAGACCTTCTTAATGACAAAGTATACTTTCCTATATTTGCATTTCTAAATGTTTGTTGAATCAATAAAATCAGACATTTTCAGTGATGTATCTAATTTGTAAAGTGAGAATTTGTGCTGGACTTCCGCAATTTTTTTCTTCTGACCACATGTAATATGTATTTAAAAAAGAGAACATTTGGTTAACCTCCTAAATTCTTTTTCTCATAATAAAAGTTAATTTGTGCAAATTTTGAACTCAAGTAGTAGCTATAATAGACTCTCAAAAGAGAATGAAAATTAAACAAAATAATTTTAAAAACACATTGGTAATTTGTACACAAAGCTCTCTAAATCTTCAAAATATTCAATTAATATAGTCAATTAAAACCTCAATTTGTTTGTTTTGCACGTTGTCTACTCAAATTTCTAACACATATAGATTCATAGCAAATTTTTTTTGGCAAGATTAATTATTAAATATAAGTTCTATGAAAATGGTACGTTGTGGGTTATCTTGATTAAGCAAAGTGATAAATATCATTATCTAAAAAGTATTCATCAGGTCAAGAAATATTGATCCTCTGTAAGATACATGGATACATCATAGGATACCAGAGATACAAAGGTTTTAATATGCATCTTTTCAAAATGTAAATGTAAGTGGTTTAAAGCATTCAAAGAACGTACACATTTTATCAGAAAACATAATTTCTGTCAATGAGTAGAGAGATATAAAAAAGCTACCTCTACAGCTCAGTGGTGAGATATTCATAGAAAATTGACTCTGCTTTGAATCTGTTTAAAATGATAAATATAAAAATAGATTATATAATAATAGTAAAAATAATATTTTTATAAGGTGCCCTTTTGTACATATTTAAACCTGCATTTATTATTTCAGCCCATTAATTCAGTGTATATGTTTGTACACTGACAGTGTGACAGATATTTGGCCATGCATAAAAAATTCTAATTAAAATCAATATGATGTGAAATAATTTTATTTAAAATATCATATTACTTAAATATAAAAAGCTTAAATTAGAAGAATAAGCTATTTCATAAAATATAATCTATATCATAATACTCATCAAACCTAGAATCAAAATATGCATAGTGAATGTATATGATATAAAATAAAATTGAATGAATCTAATCGCATATAAAAGCACGTTACACTAAGAACGCAGGCTTTGATTCCCTTTTAAACATCATTTCATTTTATAATCTACACATCAGAAAAGAAGAAAACTCTAAAGAAAGTAAATGCCAGTTAGAATCACTAAACTGAACATTACCTCAACAAATTAAACTTTGCCTACTAGCACAATAACTTTCAATTCATTTATTATTTCTAATTTTACTAATTAACCTGGGATACTACAGAATATAGGTTATCTCAATTATAGAGGTGTGGTTTTTATTATCATTTCATTATTATTCTATACTAATACTACTAATACTACTAATACTTATATCTATATATACTATATCTATGTATAATTCTAATAACATATATATGTTAATATTTTTCAAGAATAGTTTTGACTCATAATCGTTACTAGATATTTCTCCACTAAGAGCCCATTTGCTAAGCATATTTATCTAAACTTCAAATTCATCATTAAATTTAATACAATTTCAAAGACTGAGATTGTTATAATCCCAAAATGAAGGGCTATATGTTAAAAAAAAAATAAAATGAACAAATGAAAGCCATGTAACCATAACTTTTTCTATCCCCAGATGCTCCAAGGGAGCACTGAAAAAAGCATTTATGTGTGAGGACTTTGTATTCCGAGCACTTCTAGTCATCGTTCTGTCATTAGTAGACATGCAAACTTTCTAAACCTTACTTACATTCTGTTTACTTTGTGGGCAGTAGTAGAATTAATAGGGTTCTTGTAAACAGTAAATAAGAAAATTTACGTAAAATTCTTAGTTAAGTTTTATTTTCATACTGTAATGTTCAACAAAGTTTGGGGAAAAACTCTCAAACAACAAATTATATATTTCCAAAACTATTATTGTTTTTAAATGTCAGTGGACATTTCCCAGCCTTACAAACTTAAAATTCTAGTGCCTTTAATGTCTTCCTATATCCTCCACTACCAGATTAAATGACTTTTTATTCTCATTACAATTATTCTCATTATCTCATATCCCATCAGACAATACCAGTTGTCAACAATTTTGAGAATCAATTTCTCACTCTAGCGTTCAAGTCTCCAAGCTAACATTAAGCTTCTTCTTCTGATACTCCTATAATTTGTATGGCTTGACTACTGCCAATGCAAACAGAATGCCTGTCCAAGCTTTTGCTTTTGTGCATGTTGGTTCATTTCTCTGAAATGCGTTACTCTATTTTCCTATGTGAATTATTATCCCTTCCAAAAACATTCTTGCTGATATTCCCACCAACACCCTAATCTATTACAATCTTATCTATTAAATTTTGTTTGTGACTATTATATGGCTCTCCCTTGCATTATAGTAATTTGTTTTTATTTAATTCCAAATATTGGATTGTGGTTTCTCAGAATAGCAGTGTCATGTATTACTAATCTTCTTATTTTATGCATTGCAAAGCAGAAAGATGTAGATACCACAGTTGATTGGGAATATTTTCTAATTTGAACACAGAACATGCCCTCTTCTGTTATACACACTGTAATAAATTAAAATTAAATAAGGTGACACAAAATTTAGAAACTTATTTGTGTTCCTTCAAAATGGGAGTTGTTTTATATTAGTGCATTAAGGAATTGGAATGAAAAACTGTATTTTTTAAACAAATAAAATAAAAAAGATACTCAAGCACAAAAGCAAATCTTCATGGACAAGAAATGCAATGTTGCATTACATGTTGGAGTCATCTGTGTGTGGCAGTAGGTAGAGACGGATAAGAGTTCGCTTATATAAGAAATGTGTAGCACAAATACCCCAAATGCAAATTCAAGTGAAAGATTTAGTCTCACCACTATATTCTCATTAAATGGGTCGTTATAGTAAATGAGTAAAATGAGTCATTACAGTAAATGACTACTAGAGGTCATGCCTTATGCAAATAAGGCCTAAAGGCATGGGTACAACACATACTATGCTGTGTTACCCACTATCTGTGTACTCATTATGAAATATATCCAATATCGTAATGTGGCAGTCGTCCTAACCAATTTAAATGAGCCTAGGTTTAGAAAGGAGATACCCACAAGAAAGTAGGATCATAATATATGCAGGAGCTGAAAAGTGTGGCTGAGAAAAGAGGGTGTGAGACATGTAAGCCAAAAAGTATGTGGGACAAATCTCAATTAGTTGAGGAGTTGATTTTACCATGGTTAAGGATATTCCCATGACACAGCCTTAGGAGGTCCTGAGAACATGTGCCCAAGATGGTTGGGTTACAGCTTGATTTTCAATGTTTTGAGGAGATAGGAGTTACAAGCAGATATGTAATGTCTGACACGTACATGTCAATACATGTAAGGAGTACATAAGGTGTATATTGGTTTGGTTGGTAAAGGTGGATTCAAAGATTTTTTTGTTTGGCAATTGGTTGAATGAGTTAAGTTATTACCTAAAGACCTAGGATGAATAGAAAGGAATGTAGGGTTTAATATAAGGGGTTGTAGAGACCAAGGTTCTTATTACACAGATGAAGCCTCTGGGTAGCATGCTTCAGAGACAATAGGTGGTAAATATTTCTTAGACTTAAAAAGGTGCCAGACACTTAGCTAATCTCTCCTGGATCAGAGTAAGTCCTAGGAAGGGAAGAGGATTCCCTACCAAATGTAGATATCCTCCCGCCAGGAGACAGCTTTGCAGGACCCTTTTGGAATACATCAAATAAATATATTTCAGGGTAAAATATTTCCATTTTTTTCAAAGTCTGCTATGTGTTATTTTGTGATACATCTTACAGCTACAAAGAATTGGTTTGGTCAGTCTTAAGATATCTGTTTTAATGTTAATTCTGCTCAGCTGTACCTGAATTCCAAAGGGCATAATAAGGTCTGTCTGAACCCCATTCCCACTTCCCATCATGGACTGAACTAGTTTTTCAGGTTTACTTTGAAATTCCCTTGGCCAAGAGGGCATCTATTCAATCAGTTGAGGGACTTACAATTTTATTTTTGGTTTATAGAGAACACATCAAATGAACCTGTAGAACCACTTGGCAAAGTGATATATAACCCTAAGAAAGATAGCCAAATTCACAATTAAAAGATGAAACAATTCTGGATAAAATTAAACACAACACATGAAGCAATGTTAAATTGTATATTAATAAACTCCAAATAGGTAAAGAACAAGCAATTGCTTTAAATTGGCATGTATGCATTTATTTTTTTTCTTCCTTTATTTATTTTTATAGATATAGGGGAAAGAAGTACAGTTTTGTTACATGGATATAATGCATAGTAGTGAAGACTGAGCTTTTAGTGTAATCATCACCTGAAGAGTGTACACTGTACCCATTAAGTAATTTCTCATCCTTCATCCCCCCTTACCCTCCCACCCTTCTGAGTCTCCAATGTTTATTATTCGACTCTCTATATCCATGTGTAAATTTGTATATTTAGTGTCTTAATGAATGTATAAGCTAGGTATACATTTTATAATAAAAACACATATTGGCATGTGGTCAAATGATGACACTAGGAGATGTTCACTGAGCACAATAAAAGACTGTAAATTTAATAAGAAATGTAAACCTGAGGGGAAAAATTCAGAAGTCATTGATGAAGCAGGAAGAAAACGGCAGAAAAGGGGATAAAAGGAAAGATTAGAAAATTGACGAAAAGTGAACAAAAAATAAATAGTTATATATATAATGTTCACACTAAATGTAAATTAATTAATTGTAAGTCCTGATTAGAGTAAGAAAGATTCTAAAGATCCTCTGATATACTGCTTATAAGCAGCACAACAGAACACACACATAAACATACACATGTGGACTGGTGAAAAATAAAAGGATCAGAAAAATAGACCAGGCAAATTATAACTAAAAGAAACACACACACACACACACACACACACACACACACAATTTAACAAAATCCATTATAATAGGTAAAGATGAGACACTGAATAACAAATGAGGATGCCACATAGAAGATAATAATAACCATATAAATCTATTAATGGGAACAATGTAACATGAAAAATACAGTAAAAAAAAACAAAATCTGTCAGCATTAAAGAAATTGAAAAAATCACAATCAGAGTAGGTGATCTAAATATGCCTATTTAAAAACGGACAGAATATTACGCAAAGAAAGTTATTGAAAAGGATGATAAACATCTATCCACTAAATTACTTGTGGTACACCTCAGTAAGAAGTTAATATTTGAGCAAGGACTTAAAAAATGACAGAGCAGTTTATGTATAAAAAAACAAGTTAGGCAGAAGTGCTAGCCAGTGCAAATGTCCTGAGTAAATCATGCTTATTGTGTACCAGGAATAACAAAGTCATGAGTGAGGCCGAAGGACAGAGGGAAAGGGATGAGGCCAGAGAGGCAATGGGTATGGGGAAGGGAGATTTTGAAATCTGATTGGAGTAGATCCAAAAGTGATAAGAGGAAAATTAGAGCAATGCCTATAGACACTTCTTTCCATGAGTTGCCTTGTGAAGAGGAGCAAATAAGATGGCAAAAGCTTGAAGAAAAAGTATGGTAAAAAGACATTTTTTCATTGTTTGTTTTTTATTTTGTCAGACATAAGAAATAAAAACATGTTTGTCCTGAGCAGGAGAGGATGGAATGCAGTGACCCTGTGGAGAAAGCAACCTGAAGTCAGAGCTTGAACAGCAAGTAATCAGTGAAATTAGAAATAATTTTTTAAAAATGTACATTTGATTACATAGCCAGAATCAGGCAGGGGAGCCTGGATCATTAACAGAAACCAAAAGAAACCTGATACATGTAGTATAATTTGTATATATTCTATACATATGCTATAAAAATTGTTGACCAGCTGGGGCTGGTTGTTACCTGCTCTGTCTTGGAGCTTTGCACAGTACTACATTAATCACCCTAGTATAGCACTATATTGATCACTTATTAGTATATTTCATTTGGTTTGGGCAAAGTCAACATTATGGATTCAGAAATCCTTAGAAACAAGGACAAAGTTAGCTGCGATCAATATTTGGCTGAGTACAAAAGTATAGCTGACATTATTTTAGTCTTTATGCACTATAGATCTTCCTTTATAATCCTCTTGAACCAGGAGCTTTAAATTGATATACATACATACAATTGTGTATGTGTATGTGTATGTACAAATGTGTATATATACACACACAAATATGTGTGTAAATATGCGTGTGTGCATATATATACACAAATGTATATGGTGTGTGTGTGTGTGTGTGTGTGTGTGTGTGTATATATATATATATATATATATATATATAAAAATAATATATCCCAACTTAAAGCACCTGGGTCAAGGTGTATCAACAATAATTAATCCTATCAGCCCAGACCACAAAATAACCCTGTTTTTGCTTGTTCTTTATAGAACATGAAAAATTAAGAAATGGCTAATGGCTAACTAGTCGTCTTCATTTAAACTTTAATTGAACATTTGTTTTATTTCTTGATAGAAAACTCTCTGATTGGCCATTAAGCCACCAATAAAAATCTGCAAAAGTCATTAGCTGTAGTATCCTGAATAATGAACCCCCAAATTATCAGGTCCTAATCCCTGTGAAACCTACTTAATAGTCCCGTAGACAGTTTATTATTATTATTATTATTAACATAGAAGACACTACTGGTCTTAAAGCTTAAAACTTACATTTGTTTTATCTGAGTTCCTTCCTCAGGAAATGACCTTCAGGCCTCTCAAAAAAAGTATCAAATAACTGAAAATTATCTGGTGATCACCGCATCAGTTGCTGAACGACTAATTCATCATGATTGCTCTTTACCCCTCTCTTGTTCCTGTTTTTTTTTACACACCATTACATTTCTTCCCTATTATATAAATTTCTAGTTTTAGTCAGGGAGATAGATTTGAGACTGAGCTCCAATTTCCTCCACTACAGCACCCAATTAAAGCTTCCTACTTGACAGCGCTTGTTGTCTCAGTGATTGACTTTCTGTGCAGTGAGCAGTAGGTTCTAGACTGAACCCCTGGTGTTTTTGTAATAGATTTTAATTCCCTGACCAGGAACAAGTTGCTTGTGGCTTGAATGTCATGGACTGGCAGTCTCAGAATCCCTCCTAAGCAGCTGCCTACCCAGTTTTGCCCGGAGGTGATTTTCCATCTCTCTCTGGCCCTGCCACAATAGGTCCCAACCACGTTCCCGATTGCCTCAGAATAAATGCCTTTGAGATTTGATATCTACATCCGGGTAGGTGAGTGTCCTTTGTGGGACCAGATAGCAGGATCTACTCCTCTCAATTTAGGAAATTTTTAAATAAATTTCCATTTGTATGTTGAAAAAACTGAAATGACTGAAAGAGGAAAGCATCCTGACTGCTTCAGTATGGACATTCTTGTGGGCATTTTGTGTGTGTCTGGGCAAGTGAATGTCTTCTGTGGATACCAGACAGTGGGATTGGCTCCTCTCGATGTGAGAAATGCTGAAGGAATTTTTGTTTGCAGGTTGATCGAGCCCAACCAATGAAGAGAGGAAACACCTTGACTGTTTTAGTTTGGACACTCTTGGGGCTTGTTTGTTGTGGCAGCAGTTGGATTGTGTTTTTGTGTGTGTTTGATATAGTCATGGAAAATTAGAATTCGGTAAACTGATATTCTTTTGTAATACTGCTTGTCCCCAATATTGTTTGGAACCTGAATATGCTGTTGAATTGGAAAGTAGGATGGAGTTCCATGTATCCAGGCTTTTGTGCTGCTGTTCTAAGCAGGGTCAGGCTCAAAGTGCCATCATAGGTATCATTCTAGGGAGGCAGAGAGAGACTTGAAGCAAATACAGAAAGGAAGACAATGTGAAGACGAAACAGATTTTAAAAGCTGGACTTCAATACTGGAGGGATACAGCCATAAATAAGGGAACACCAAATACTGGAACAGGTGTGAACAGAGATACCAAACCCCACAGAAAATCAGATTGTCAGCTGCAGCTGCTACTTTATTTATGGAGACCATATAATTGTTTTGCTAGACTGTGGCGCTAGATCCAGAAGATAAAGAAACATTAATAGTACCTCTATCTCCACACCTCCTGCTCTAAGATGTTTCCTCCCTATGTGTCAAGGTTCTTGCTCTCTTTCAATAGACACAAAATCAATGTGTCCCATTACAGAAGCTAAAAGTTTACTTTTATTCTCTATCATTTCCTTTTGACATTCAGAACTTTTTGTCAAAAAAGGTCAGCTTCAAGTGGAACAGTACACTTCAATACAATTTTTAGAGCTGCATTACACCCTTCACCTTGGTTTGAGAGGGGCACTCTAGGGGGACCTATTAAACAGTACTCTCAGTCAAGATGTCAATGTCTTCAGGATCTAGGGCTATGTCAGTTCAACCAGAGAATCCATGTAGCTGAACTGGCATTGAGCTGGAATGCCTTATACCTTCCTTTGACTGTGTTGATTCCTGAAAGTTGTTCTAATCAGGCTGGCTTGGGATCATACTAAGGGAAAAGAAATATTCCTTATGCCAGGAATGGAGAAGGTGAAATTATTATTTTTAATATGTGTCTATGTAGTTCTACACACTTTTTGTCCTAGGAATTTCACTTAAACCACTCTTTCGTCAAGTCAGGCATTCGGGGGATCTTTGTAAATCAACAACTCATAGAGCAAGCAGCTTTGCTTCAGGTGGTAGGAACAGAAAGTACAGTTGTCCTTTCTGTTGTAACTGCACTTTTTCAAATAAAATCAAGCCAGCTGAACTCTTGAATATATTGTTTCAGTGGGAAGAGTCTCTTCCCTTATGAGTCATTGAGTCTAAGTTGACAAACATCAAAATAAGAGCTTCAGGTGAGAAAAACTTCACAGTGACTCCATTGAGCTTGTATTCAGTTTCAATAAGAGTTTAGTAGCTAGTTAACAGTTGTTTGGGATTTTTAAAATTTACACTTAGTGGCTACATGAGACAGGTGGTGCTGTTGTACTGGGAAATAACATCTCTGAATACTCTATGAAGCATCAACTATTTAACTAATATTGTTACTCTTCATTCTCCAGATTTTCTGTTTTACTTCTGTTGAAACTCATAGGAGTAGACAGAGAATATCTCCCTATATGTGGCTGTCTCTGAATAGAATTCCCCCTGACACTCCTGGGTGTTCACAGGGCTTGCACTTTATTCATAACAGTTGTACATTCAAAAGCAGAAAGCACAAGAAGAATACACAGAATTATCACAGAAGGCCTCACATCAAGGCCAGGTTAGCTTCCCTTCCTCACTGAAAAAACTGCCCAAATCTCATTAGCTGTATTTTGGAGCTTCCTCCTTCTTCAGCATTAGGGATAGAGGTAATCTGGGACTAGAATAGAATTCATGGAGTGCAGGGAAAAGGGGGAGGTTAGAAGATGTAGACTGTCAATGCCAGTAAGGTAGAATATTTTTTTTCTTCCTTGGCCATTCTAAAGTTGGTTCCAACAAGAGAGTGCTGCTTTTTTCTCTATGTACTGCCCAACATCTAGTAAGCAACTAGATCAAGAGACCCTTATCTTTCTGCCATGTGTATGCCTCTATAGCTCTGCCTCACTGTGAATTAGTCAGCACTGGTGAGCAGCTTCATGTTAGAAAGTAAGACTTTGCCTTCAGTTTTACATTTGAGTATTCACTTTCTAGCTGCCCAATCAAGGAAACCTCTGAAATTTTTGGCTCATCCAAAGCTGTGTAGTGACTATTGAGGTCCTTATTGATGACACATTTTATTTCAATTTGGGGAACCCCATAACCATAGAAACACTGCCTTCCAGCTGTGGAAGCAGGGCTTGCTTTCCCACTATTATGGGGATTCCCCATAGCATCCCTTCCTTCCCCTATATAGAAGGGAATAAGCAACAACCAAAGCACTATTCCTGGACTCGTTTACTTCCTACCTCTCATTGTTCAACCTATAACCAGGAAGTATATTGAGAGACTCTTGCTTGGACCTAGTCCACCACGTAAGTAGAAATTTATGCTACTTAGTTCCAAAGAATGTGTACATATCCCCAAACTTACTTTGTAGATTACTTGCCCATTCTCTTACTTACAATGATGTGTCTGTAAACATCCCATACTCATCACCAAAACAGTTTAGAATAAGATTCAATTTTACTCTACATCCAACCTATTAAGTTAGCTGTACCAGACTGTTCTTATGCTGCTGTAAGAAATACCTGAGACTGGGTAATTTATAAAGGAAAAAGGTTTAATTGCCTCACAGTTCCACATTGCTAGGAGGACTCAGGAAGTTACAATCATGGTGGAAGGCAAAGGAGAAGCAGGTACCTTCTTCACAGGGTGGGAGGATAGAGCAAGTGCAAGCAGGGGAAATGCCAGATGCTTATAAAATCATCAGATCTCATGAGACTCACTATCATGAGAGTAGCATGGTCCCCATGATCCAATTACCTCCACCTGGTCCTGCCCTTGACACGTGGCGATTATGGGGAATACAGTTCAAGATGAGATTCTGTTTGGGGACATAGCCAAACCATATTATTATCCCTGGCCTCTCCTAAGTCTCATGTCCTCACATTTTAAAACACAACCATGCCTTTCCAACAGTCCCCCAAAGTCTCAGCTCATTCCAGCATTAACCCAAAAGTCCAAGTTCAAAGTCTCATATGAAAGAAGACAAGTCCCTTTTGCCTATGAGCCTGTAAAATCAAAAGCAAGTTAGTTACTTCCTAGATACAATAGGGGTATAGCTATTGGGTACATGTACCCATTCCAAATGGGAGAAATTGGCCAAAAGAAAGGGGCTATAGGACCTATGCAACTCCAAAATCCAATAGGGCAGTCATTAAATCTTAAAGTTCCAAAATTATATCCTTTGACTCCATGTCTCACATCCAGATCACAGTTATGCAAGAGGTGGCCCCCACAGCCTTGGGCAACTCCATCTCTGTGGCTTTGCAGGGTACAGCCCCACTCCTGGCTGCTTTCACAGGCTAGCGTTGACTCTCTGTGGCTTTTCCAGTGCACAGTGCAAGCTGTTGATGGATCTACCATTCTGAGGTCTGGAGGATGGCCCTCTTCTCACAGCTCTACTAAGACAGTGCCCCAGTGGGGACGCTGTGTGGGGACTCTAACCCCACCTTTCCTTTTTGCACTACCCTAGCAGAGGTTCTGCATGAGGGCTCTGCTCCTGTAGCAAACTTCTACCTAGACATCCAGGTGTTTCTATACATTCTCTGAAATCTAGACAGGGACTCCTCAACCTCAGTTTTTGACTCCTCTGCACCCACAGGCTCAACACCACATGGAAGCCACCGAGGCTTGGGGCTTTCACCCTCTGAAGCCATGACCCAAGTTGTACCTTGGCCCCTTTTAGCCACTGCTGGAATTTAAGCAGCTGGGCACAGGGCACCATTGTCCTGAGGCTGCACAGAGCAGGGGGTCCTGGGCCTGGCCCACAAAACTATTTTTCCCTCCTAGGCCTCCAGACCTGTAATGAGAGGGGCTGCCATGTAGGTCTTTGACTTGCCCTGAAGACATTTTTCCTATTGTCTTAGTGATTAACATTTGCCTGCTCGTTACTTATGCAAATTTATGCAGTCAGCTTAAATTTCTCTCCAGAAAATGGGCTTTTATTTTCTATAACATCATCAGGCTGCAAATTTTCCAAACTTTTATGTTCTGCTTTTGTTTTAATGCTTTACCACTTCCGCCAGAAACCCTAAATCATCTCTCTCAAGTTCAAAATTCCACAGCTCCCTAGGGCAGAGACAAAATGCCATCAGTCTCTTTGCTAAAGCATAGCAAGAGTGACCTTTGCTCCATTTCCCACCAAGTTCTTCATCTCCATCAGAGACCACCTTTGCCTGGATGTAATTGTTTATATCGTTATCAGCATTTTCGTCAAAACCATTCAACAAGTCTCCAGTAAGTTCCAAACTTTCCCACATTTTTCTGCCTTCTTCCAAGCTCTCCAAACTGTTCTAACCTCTTCCTGTTACCCAGTTTCAAAGTCACTTCCACATTTTGGGGTATCCTTACAGCAGTGTCACACTACCTTCGTACCAACTTACTATATTAGTTCATTCTCATGGTGCTATTAAGACTGGGTGATTTATAAAGGAAGGGGGCTTAATTGACTCACCCTTCCCCATGTCTTAGGAGGCCTCAGGAAACTTACAATCATGGTAAAAGGCAAAGGAGAAGCAGGCACCTTCTTCACAGGGCAGCAGGATGGACTGAGTGCAAGCAGGGGAAATGCCAGACACTTATAATACCGTCAGATCTCATGAGACTCACTCACCATCAGGAGAACAGCATGAGGGAATCTGTCCCCATGATCCAATTAGCTCCACCTGGTCCCACCCTTGACACATGGAGAATGTGGGGATTACAATTCAAGATGATATTTTAGGTAGAGACATGGCCAAACCAAATCATTAACCTATTATTGTTTTATGATGTAAACAGAATATGTGAGACTTCTGGATTAGATTTAAAAGACAGCACTTCAAGTAACATAAGCATTGGCATGTACCTCAATTCCCTTTCCAGACAAGTCCCAAAGAAGCAATATAGGGGCTAGATCAATATTGCACATTCAGTAGGTTTGCATCACAGCTGAGGGACACGGACCTAGGAAATCTACCCCTTTCAGACTAAGCAATAGGAAGCCTGCTTTTGGTTCTAGGAGGTGATATTACCTCATCTCTCAAAGTTGTTTACCCCAAACACAATCATGAAAAATGGTCCAGTTTAAAAAGAAGTGGTCAAGCCTTGCAATCTTGGCATATATGTTGTCAAGGATGCTCTGGGTTTGTGGCAAATCACCTCTCCCAACACATACATTTCACATTTTCCCAGGAGCCACAAATCTCTTTTGCTATTACTCTGGAAGTGCAAGCCAAGTAAGAAAAGAAAAAAAAAAGCCTGAAGTAAAAAATTGCATAGGTGATCAAAAATTGTATTAATTTTGTATAATACATGTAAAGCTGAAAAAATATTAGAGTTAAAATAAAGTTTTGTTTCACATATATAAATAAAAATATATATGCAAATGTATGTATTTATACATGTAAATTCTAAAATATATAAGTATAAATATCTGTAAGCATAAGATATGTATATATAAATCACAAGCTTTCATATATAGGAATCATATCATAATAAAAATATCGTTTATATAGCAAAATTATTAATTATTTTAAAAATTTTATTAGAAATGTTAGGACAGACTTGCATGGGGAACATAACCTCCCTTCAATGAAGAACGTGAAGGCAGATCCGAGGAAATGGAAAGAAATATCATTCTGTAAATACTTCTTCCAAACTTATTCTTTTAATTTAATGCAATTTTAATAAACATCTCAACTGGATTCTTAATAGAACTTGACCTATTTATTCTAAGGCTCACTTGGAGTTATGAATTTGTGAGAATTGACACTCCAGGTCTTAGTGGAATTGCCCTTTTTACCCAAGTATCAGGGAGCACACATACAGGTGTGAATTGCAGGAAATTAAAACAGATTATTTGAAATTCATGCTTTGCTGAGCACAATGACTCTTATCTGATTCCAAAGGTAAGAATGGATACTTTTTCAGGCAGGTGACAGACTTGAATCTCAGATTTAACATTTCCTTTCAATGTATCTGTTATTCACATTGTCATAGATACCCTCTTGTGTGGAGACATATTACTCTTGAAAGTAATCCTTTTAATAGAGGGTTTGATTACATGCAAAACACAGTATATTATATCACGACTGAGTTAATTTACAGTTTATGTGGACAAAATGGTATTCTTTCTGAACTCAATTTATTAATTTCATTTAGTCACACTGTATAGAAATTTAAGCTTTAATGTCAAATTGCCGATTCTCTATTAATAAGAGAATTTAAAGAATATATAACTAAAAAGGCCACAGTTTTTTGGAATAAAATATGTTTGTGATCATTTTGTGTATGATGTTAAAATTAATAACGTAATGCTAATAGGAAATAGAGATCTACTGATCAATGATTATTAGAAGCTGAAACATGTGTATGCATACGTAGTGTCTATCTGAACATAACATGATTCAATTTTGTTAACTGAATAAATGCTTGAAAAAAGAAAACTGTAACTCTAATCCAATCACTGATAAATAAATTCTATATTTGCCAAATATACAATAGGTTATAAAAGTATTAAATAAAACATAAACTAATATTCACATATTAGGATGGTGAATGTTTCTTTAACCATTATATCCAGTTCACAAATTATAGGAGAAAAGCTGAAAGATATGGATATGTAGTTCCATAAAATACTGTAAATAAAAGAGTTCAATGATATAAAAAAGAAAATAAATTCAACATATATGACTTCCTCAGTTAAACAATATCAAGATACATATTTTAACAAATAATTTTAAAAAATCTATTACATTTTAGAACACTGAGAAAGAATAATGAAAGTATAGCTTATAGATAAGACAACCAACAAATCTACATGATATTTTCAAATTTAATAAAGAGTGATTCGATAAAAGCGGTGGCTCACGCCTATAATCCCAGCACTTTGGGAGACCGAGGTGGGGAGATCACGAGGTCAGGAGATTGAGACCATCCTGGCCAACATGGTGAAACCCCATCTCCACTAAAAATACAAAAATTAGCTGGACGTGGTGGTCCATGCGTGTAATCCCAGCTACTCGGGAGGTTGAGGCAGGCGAATCGCTTGAACCAGGGAGTTGGCGGTTGCAGTGAGCCGAGATCGTGCGACTGTACTCTAGCCTGGTGACAGAGCAAGAATCTGTCTTTAAAAAAAAAAAAAAGCCACTTTTTACTTTTTGACTATCAAAGGGTGTGTGTGTGTGTGTGTGTGTGTGTGTGTGTGTGTGTGTGTGTGTGTTTAAAGGAATAATACCAATGTTGATGAGCTTGGTACAACATAATTGTATTTTAAATTTACGTCATCTATACTGTTAAAATATTTCTAGAAGTCAGGGTGAAAATGCACTGACAAAGCCTACATATACATATCACATTTATTTTCATTGCAACTGATAATTTGTCTTTCTCTTATTCCCCCTCCCATTCTCTCCCTCCCTTCCTGCCTTCCTTCTTTCCTTGCAGGGGAGGAGGTCACTTTAAAAAATCTTTTAAAAGTCTTTTTTTTCCTATTAGAGGTTTGTGTTTCTTACCAAATTTGAGGCATTACTACGTTAAGTAGTATCTACTTAATGAACTTATTTTAAGTTTAAAATAAACTTTATATCTCAACTTGGTTTTAAATTGCATTCAATACATCCAAACAATATCATAGGATATACATATATAAATGTGTACACGTATGCTGTTCTAAGAAAGTGAATGTGCAGAAACTGGTGAAGAACAAAATACAGGGACCCTCACTTAACAGGCTCCTTTCAAGTCCCTACACCTCATATTACAGTTTTAATTATGCATAGTTTTTCTTAAACAGTTACCCTCCACACCCTGAAATTACATTAGCTTCAGTCCTTTCAAAACCTTCCTTAATCTCCCTATCCAAAAGTTAGCTGTTCATATCAAGCATGTCAGTGTAAGAAAGAAGTGATGAATCTGGCAATACTTAACATAAGTTAAAGAATGAATTACTAAACAACAATTAGTTTGATTACTTAAGTATAAGATGCCAGATAATTGTAGTCCTGTTTGCTGCTAATAACTCAAAATTGAACTCAAGTTTCAGTTTTTGTTGTGAAGATACAAGCAACATTGGAACAAATCAGCCAGTGTACTTTTAGACTGCACTGCATTATCTATTTAATCATCATTTGACAATATTAATGAAAGTATGTAAAGAATCCAGCTATAGCATAGATTGACTCTTTAGTATTGGAGTATTACATGCTCAGGCATCTGAAAAATGTGTCATGTTCTAGCTTCTTGAATAATAATCAGTTTCACCTGCTGAGGACTATTTTTATGAGTCTCACAATTCATCATTTACTCCCTTATACTTACCAAACATGTTTTTATCATCATAAATCTGTAGGAGTTTAGTCATCCTATGAATCACTCGTGGCTCAAGAAACTTTCTCAGTCTAATTCTATAGCCACTGATTTGGCTTAAAATCAGATCCCATAAAATGTAAATGATACTAGGAACCATTTTGTGTTGAATATACATTTTTGGAAAGATAAACTGTGATTTAATTAATATATTATTGTGCTGCTCAATTCTAATAAGTATGTGATCTTTGGCAAGTCATTTAATGTTTTTTAAGCCTATTCATCATCAATATAAAAATGCTACTTCCCTTATTGCGTTATTGTGGAGATTAAATCAGATAACATTAATTCAAGTACATCCATGTGGAAAATATTCATGAATGTTAGCTGTTATTATTTTGTTATGCTTCTAATAGAAAATACTGTTGATGGTGAACGCTTTTCAAAGTGTTTCAAGATAGATGCACAAAGTTAAAAAGGAAAACTTGGATATAACTAGGCAGTGTAATTCAAATGTAGGCCCTGACTGTATAGGGAGCTATGTCAAAAGACGTGAATAAAATGTTTCAGACATGAGTTTTGGACAGTAGGGGAGATATCAGGTAAATTTGATAGTGAAATTAATTTATAGGATTTTTTTTATTATAGGAAACAAATAGTTAATGAAAATAGCAAATATAAGGGCCCCAAATTATTGCTGATTTCCTTTCAGGTGAAGACATATAATGCTACTAAAAATGGAGTAGTAGTTAGTATTTAGTTTGACTCAAAATAACAAAAAACTTTAAAAAATTGAATAAAAGATGCCAAACAGGATAAACATTTACTTCCTTTTTCTATAAAATTTCCAATATGCATTTCAAGGTTGGTCTGACTCACAATCTTTCTATCCCCGTATTCATTATGTACTTTCTTATCTTCATAATCCAAAATAGCAAATACTACAATCACTGGATAGATGAAGAAATGAAGGAGAGGGATCAAGAATAGCCTCAGCTGTTTTTTAGTATATGTGCCTGAAGCTTCCACAAAACTCCTTCTAACATGCTCACACTTGCTGCAAAGGAGGTTGTGGAATGTATTCCTCAATGCTAAGGGAATCATACGATGCTCTAAAATTTTTATTACTGTTGAAAATTAGGAAATGGATTAAAGACGTAAAATATTAGTGTCTACCAAAGTGAGGCATGATCTCTCAGCATTCTTTGAGTCCCTACTTTGGGTTCATATCCTGTGATCTGTACCTATGAAGGAACTCCAAGCTTAAGCCCAAGACCCCGTAACTGATGGTTCTAGTTGTAAACAATGAGATTTAGATTGTCTTTAAAGACAAATATAGCAAAAAGCCTATAGAGCATTCTGTAGAAGACTGCTTACTCAAGGATCCGGTATACACAAGAACAGATAATATTATTCATTTAGTTCTGAACAAGCAAATTAACAGACACATTGAAAATCCTTTTCTTTTCTTGCCTGAACAAGACATCTTACTAAATACAGTGAAGGATGAAAAAGTAAATGCCTTGAAATGTTGACATTAACTGCAGTTAATTAAAAAGGATATAGGGTGAAAAGTAATTAAGTAAAAACAATTTAATTCATCAAAAGCTAAATTAAAATTAAAAGTACCCATCATTTACTTGTTGGTAACTAATTCTTCCGTGTTACTTTAGGTTCATTCCAGAAACATAACAACTTTTCCTATCTTTTCTTGAAGACGGAATGCTTAGCAAATAAATGTGCTAAGTCAGTTTATTTTTTTACTTGTACTTTGAAATGCTAATTAAGATGTTACATATTTACTTAATTTTCTTTTTAAATTTTATTATTATCAATGAGGCACATTTCCATTAATGGATATTTCTTATAATTTTACTTTATTGGATTATATATTAATTTCAGTGAGACTAAATTTGAATTTTAGCACTTTTTAAAACATAATTGATTTCCACACTTGGCCTTGACTTGCCTTCAACCAATTAGCGTGAAGAACTAGGACATTTATAACCTCACTAAAACTCTCAAGTTCTCTGTCTTTTTCTCCTTCTTTCCCTCCCTCCCTACCTCCCCCCACCCCCTCCATCCCTCCCTCCCTTCATTCCTTCCTCTCTTCCTCTCTGCCCCCCTCTTTCTCTCTCTCTCTCTTTCCTCCTTCTCTTCCTCCTCTTTTTTTTTTCGTCTTCTAACCAACCATTCATAAAGAAGAACATTTTTAAAATTTGCATACCATTCAACTTCAGGCTTATCTTTGCTAAAGATATTTGATGAACAAACATTTTCTTAAAATGTATGTCAGCCATATGTTATTCACCATGAATACATACACATTTCAAATAAGTATATTACTTGAGAAAATAATATAATTTTCAGGGATTTGACATGAGTGGGAGGATGACTGTAACTCTGTCTGCAGATAATTTACAGTGAGTGTTTAAAGGACTGAGTCCCAAGGATATATTCCTTTGTAGGAGAAATAAACCTCCACTGTGTTCATAGGAACCAGTTAGCATACATGATTCTAGTTCAGATACTGGGTATGTGACGAAGCAAATGCGAAAAAATTCTGTAGAGTTATTTGGGCCATTCTTTCACATGGAAACACCATTCATCTTTGATTTTCCAAAATTTTCTGTATGTTTGATTATAAGGTCTTAAATAAATCCTCATGGGAATTTGTGGGAAATCTCAAAATACCATGTCTATTATAGTCTCTTTATTACTTCTTCATCATGGATAACTCTCTAAGTAGGAGAGATAACTCAGCAGCATCTGTTTTGATACCTTCCATGTAAAATTGGCTGAGCTATTTAAACAAACTCTATAAATTTCTGCAGTTGGGTCTTAGCATATCCATTAGCCTTATTCTTTTTTTTAACTTTTATTTATTACTTTATTTTGTAGAATGATTTTCTTTCTTTTATATATACATTTTTTATTATACTTTAAGTTCTAAGGTACATGTGCACAACGTGCAGGTTTGTTACATATGTATACATGTGCCATGCTGGTGTGCTGTACCCATTAACTCGTCATTTACATTAGGCATATCTCCTAATGCTATCCCTCCCCCCTTCTCCCACCCCACAACAGGCCCAGGTGTGTGATGTTCCCCTTCCGGTGTCCAAGTGTTCTCATTGTTCAATTCCCACCTATGAGTGAGAACATGTGGTGTTTGGTTTTTTGTCCTTGCAATAGTTTGCTGAGAATGATGGTTTCCAGCTTCATCCATGTCCCTACAAAGGACATGAACTCATCATTTTTCATGGCTGCATAGTATTCCATGGTGTATATGTGCCACATTTTCTTAATCCAGTCTATCATTGTAGGACATTTGGGTTGGTTCCAAGTCTTTGCTGCTGTGAGTAGTGCCACAATAAACATACGTGTGCATGTGTCTTTATAGCAGCATGATTTATAATCCTTTGGGTATATACCCAGTAATGGGATGGCTGGGTCAAATGGTATTTCCAGTTCTAGATCCCTGAGGAATCGCCACACTGACTTCCACAATTGTTGAACTAATTTACAGTCCCACCAACAGTGTAAAAGTGTTCCTATTTCTCCACATCCTCTCCAGCATCTGTTGTTTCCTGACTTTCTAATGATTGCCATTCTAACTGGTGTGAGATGATATCTCATTGTGGTTTTGATTTGCATTTCTCTGATGGCCAGTGATGATGAGCATTTTTTCATGTGTCTTTTGGCTGCATAAATGTCTTCTTTTGAGAAGTGTCTGTTCATATCCTTTGCCCACTTTTTGATGGGGTTGTTTTTTTCCTGTAAATTTGTTTGAGTTTTTTGTAGATTCTGGATATTAGCCCTTTGTCAGATGAGTAGATTGCAAAAATTTTCTCCCATTCTGTAGGTTGCCTGTTCACTCTGATGGTAGTTTCTTTTGCTGTGCAGAAGCTCTTTAGTTTAATTAGATCCCATTTGTCAATTTTAGGTTTTGTTGCCATTGCTTTTGGTGTTTTAGACATGAAGTCCTTGCCCATGCCTATGTCCTGAATGGCATTGCCTGTGTTTTCTTCTAGGGTTTTTATGGTTTTAGGTCTAACATTTAAGTCTTTAATCCATCTTGAATTAATTTTTGTATAAGGTGTAAGGAAGAGATCCAGTTTCAGCTTTCTACATATGGCTAGCCAGTTTTCCCAGCACCATTTGTTAAATAGGGAATCATTTCCCCATTTCTTGTTTTTGTCAGGTTTGTCAAAGATCAGATAGTTGTAGATATGTGGTATTATTTCTGAGGGCTCTGTTCTGTTCCATTGGTCTATATCTCTGTTTTGATACAGTACCATGCTGTTTTGGTTACTGTAGCCTTGTAGCATAGTTTGAAGTCAGGCAGCGTGATGCCTCCAGCTTTGTTCTTTTGGCTTAGATTGTACATCTAGAAAACCCCATTGTCTCAGCCCAAAATCTCCTTCAGCTGATAAGCAACTTCAGCAAAGTCTCAGGATACAAAATCAATATGCAAAAATCACAAGCATTCTTATACACCAATAACAGAAACATAGAGCCAAATCATGAGTGAACTCCCATTCACCATTGCTTCAAAGAGAACAAAATACCTAGGAATCCAACTTACAAGGAATGTGAAGGACCTCTTCAAGGAGAACTACAAACCACTGCTCAATGAAATAAAAGAGAACACAAACAAATGGAAGAACATTCCATGCTCATGGATAGGAAGACTCAATATTGTGAAAATGGCCATACTGCCCAAGGTAATTTATACATTCAATGCCATCCCCATCAAGCTACCAATGAGTTTCTTCACAGAATTGGAAAAAACTACTTTCAAGTTCATGTGGAACCAAAAAAGAGCCCTCATTGCCAAGTCAATCCTAAGCCAAAAGAACATAGCCTTACTCTTACTCAAGCAGTCCTTGTAATTTTAATACAGAGAGAGTAACACATTTTTTTGATAAATAGTAACTCCAATTATCAAAAGAAATATTTCAGCAAAACTTACTTAAAAACAAAACTCTCAATTTACTTTGTTAGCAATGATTTGATCTGGCCTCCTCTGTTTTGTCACTGTGTTTTAATTCCACTAACACATCTTAAAATTTTCATTGTGAAGTAGATTTGAGTCTTTTCAGCAGCAGCCAATCAAAGAAGGTTCAGACTTATAGTGAAGACAGTAGATTATAGCAACACATAGTTTTGTGTTCAGATACTGTCTGCTCTTCACTAACTATGTGAACTTGAGTACATTTCATTAGCTGTACAATGAGGGTAATAATAACACCTACCTGCTATGATTAAGATGAAAAATAATTTAGACAACATTTTGTAAATGTCCAGCACAGCACTGAAGACACTGTAAACATTCAGCAATGTTTGCTGTTGTAATTACTATTTTACTAGGATTAATAATATTATTAGTGATAGTAGTGGTGGTAGCAGCGGTAATGGTAATAGTGTTAGCAGTAGTAGTAGCAACATTATGAGAATTCCTTCACACTTAGAAGATCATGACCATGAACTAGGAAATTCCTTGCAAAGTGACAATTTTCTACTTAGTTATGGAATTAAAGTCTCCATTCTATCCAATTTATGGTAGCTTTTTACATCTGATAACTTAAATTTTGGTTGAATGCAATATTTTAGTTGGCAGAAATAAAACTTGCACAAAATCTAAACAAAATGTATATTTTTATTTTGTGTGCATAGAATCACATATAATTTAATTCTACTTAAACATTTATGGTAACATTCTCATTCCTATATATGAGCAGTCCCCAACCTTTTTGGCACCAGGGACCAGTTTCATGGAAGATAATTTTTTCCATGGCTGAGCAGTGGGGGAGGGTGTTCAGGATGAAACTGTTCCACCTCAGATCATCAGGCATTAGATTCTTATAATGAGTGTGCAACTTAGATCCCTTGCATGCAAAGTTCACAATAGGGTTCTCACTCCTATGAGAATCTAATGCCACCACTGATCTGACAGGAGGTGGTGCTCAGGCAGTAATGCTCCCTCACCCATCACTCACATCCTGCTGTGAGGCCCAGTTCCTAACAGGCTATGGTGGCCTGGGGGCTGGGGACCCCTGCTACAGATGACAAATTCCCAGGTAAAATTTTGTTATGTATTTGTTGCCTTGTTTTGTAATAAACATTTTTATTCCTATACCAAGCATTTTAATTTATAAGAAATCACTGAGGTTGAAAACTGACATTTAGATTATATATTGAGGCTTCAGGCTGTATGTGTCTATGCTGATAGTGATGAGTGCTTCTGTGTTTCTTTTTTGGAGACTTTCCTCCTTCCAAATTTAGTGTAATATTAAAAAATACCAAATATAATGCTATCATTGTTTCACAAATAGTCATCTCGATTGCAAATACTCCTGATTTTCAAAATATTAGACTATTCATTGAATTACAAAGTATGGTCCAGTTTCAAAATATCATTTCCAATCTTGTTTAATTCTTTAATATCTTTAAGCAGTTTAAAATAAATTCTATATCCCTAGTGCCTTCTTTTTGATAAATAGTAGAGCATATTTCCTACTTTCAACCTCTTAACAGTTGCCTGGTGTTCTTTCCATCTCCACTCTAAGTTAAAAAATAGTTATAAATCCTTTTAATAGGTGTACTGTAGCCTTGATTTTACATTCTAACCAAGGTGTTTTATGACATGTCTGGGAATACACACTTTTACAAATTCCTTGCCAAATATTAATTAGTAATTTTATAGCAGCATTTCCCTTGAAAGGTGTATTCCCCAGGGAATACAACATTAAAAAGAAATATTAAGGGGACCCTGTCATCATATTCTGGGTTTTAACTCTGCAACAAGGACTAAAACAAGCATTACATTTTCACCCGTAAGGAAGTAAGGAACATGTTGCACTTCAGGCAAAACTGCAGCAATAACCTTTCCACTGGCATTCTTCTTCCACATTTATCAAATGCTCTGATTCCCTCTCCTGTGAAACTATCTTCAGACACTTTACCACCTAGTTTCAATGCAGATCATTTTAGCAAAACTAGTTACATGCTGCTAAAATACTTCTACCTTATTCAGTATCAAGAAATTCTATTTTATACTCAAACTTTTCTAATTCTGTGAGTGATAAACTCTTGCTTTGTTCCATGAAATCCTCCCAGAAATTCTACCTCCTCCTTACTCTTCCTATATGAACTGATCAACTGCAAAGTATTCATATTTCCTCAGCGAGATCTTCATCTTTCACCCAGGGAAGAACTGTTCTAATTATTATTGCTTATTTTAGAGCCCTATGTGTTTTCATCAATGAATATAATAAATATTCATCTTTATCACTACATTCTAAAATCTGAGGGGAGGTTCTTGATCAGTTTTGCCTGTATTTGAATTACCAAGAGTTAATAATACAAACCTCATAGTAATCACATTTATAGAGTGAATGAATATATTACACAAATTCTTATTGCACATCAAAATGTTCTTTAACTGGCTTTTTTCTTTCTTTATAACCAAATGTTGGCTTTCCTATAGCTGTGTTTAGAACTAATTTTCTAAATCTGCATTTGCAATAATTACTCTTAAAAACTGTAATAATAGATGTCTGTCAGCTTTACCATATATTATAAACTCACTGACTCACTGCTTAGTTGACTAGAACTCCCAAAAGGCATCTACTATGAAATAATCTTGATTCTTTTTTCTCCAAAATCTACTCCTTACCAGAATTCCCTATTTAAGTAAATGACCCTTCTCTTCATCCAGTTATTCCCATGAAAAAGCATGAACTTAACTCATATTTTCGCTTATGCTTTGCATCAACTGTCATAAAATACTGATGGTTTGATGTTAAAATACAGACCAAATATGCATTCCTCCCCACTTTTACCTCTGTCAGTAACATCCTATTCCAAGCAAACATTTAGTCTCCCCTAGAGAATTACTTAGCTTCCTAACTCATTATGTGCTTTGAATCGTTGTACCACCAACTCGTGTGAGTTGATTCTCCCACAGCAGCCAGAGTGAATCTCTTAAAAACTTAAACCTGATTGTGTTATTTCTTTGCTCCCATCACATCTGAAATAAAATGCAGCTATTGCCTCATACCTTTATTGTTGGTCTAATGCATAAAGTGAAAAACAAAAACCATTATTGGTTTTGGGTATTTGATTTTGTTTTATTTTTGTGTTTTTAGTTTGCAGAGAATTTACCATGATGTTTACATACATTTATTTATTTATTTATTTATTTATTTATTTATTTATTTGAGATGGAGTCTTGCTCCGTCTCCAGGCTGGAATGCAGTGGTGCGATCTCGGCTCACTGAAACCTCCATCTCCCAGGTTCAAACGATTCTCCTGCCTTAGCCTACCGAGTAGCTGGGACCACAGGCGTGTGCCACCATGCCTGGCTGATTTTTTGTATTTTAAGTAGAGGCAGGGTTTCACTGTGTTAGCCAGGATGATTTTGATCTCCTGACCTTGAGATCCGCCCGTCTTGGCCTCCCAAACTGCTGGTATTACAGGCGTGAGCCACCGTGCCCGGCTGATGTTTTTATACTTGATGTAGGAAACATGATCGTTTCATTCAGTATAAAATGTGTCATGTTGCTTTTTATTTACATTTCTCCCTAATTCAATCTGTTTACCCATTTGAATATTTTTCATATTTTGAGAATGAAGTAAATCAAGGAATTACATATTATTAGAAGTATTATGACATTTTATCATTGAGAAAGCCCCTGTCCCCTTCAGATTCTGAATTTCTGATGTTAGTTTATGCAATGGACTACCTTGAATTTTTCTCTATCCTAAAGAACAATTTGCTTAAGGCTGTTTTTGTTTAGATTGAATATTACATAGCCCTAAAAAGGCCTATTTTAATATTATTCTATTATGTTCAGCAGATTATTCGTCTTCCATGTTTCCATTTCCATTATTCTTCTCAAACCTTAATTCATGAAAGGGTTTGAGAGCTGTTCGCTGTACACGTGTTTTTATCCAAATATATTTCTCATGACATAAGTCCTGAGGAAACCAGAAAATGTTATATATGAGCCAATTATGTTGGTATAAGTGACATTAAGCAAAGTGAAATAAATCAATTTACTATAGGACTTCGAAGTTTCTCTTATATAATGATACACTAAAGAGTGTGTCATGGCATCGTTTGTTTTAAGTCTTGGTAGAATAAAACTCATCCAAACATACTGCTTAACTCGAATGGTAACTATAAACAAAAGGTAAACAAAATACTTGAAAATCTCAGCCAGAATATGGGAAGGGAAGTAAATATCAATTTCCTCTTTGAGGAGAAATCCTAGTATATGGAGCTGTGTCTGACCGGCTTGTCCTGCTATTACGAGGTGAGGCCCTCCCACAGTCTCTTGGGCATATACTATTATTCTCTTTCAACCTCAAATTTTATACAACGCTCAGTTGAGAAAATCAAGAATCATGCGAAGTGCAATAAATAATTCCTAAAAGGGTCCAGAATATACATATAAAAGTGTTATGATCTTATAATAAAACTTTTAATAAAAACATGTGTTCATCTATCTTTTCAGCATATATTTATTGAATTCCCACTATGCATAACATGACTATTATGTGCTGGTGATGTTGCAATAAACAAGTAGAGCTTAGGGGAAAGAATTTCAATAACTATTTACACAATTTTTCACATAACGATGATGCATATAAGGGAAAAAAAGTCATATAATTTGCCTAGTGAATTTTTAAGTATTTCTACATAACATATTTTATTCATACTATAAATACAGTGTGATTGACATAATAATATATACATACTTACAACATTAAGAATATTGAATACTTTATTGCAGTATTTCATATTTCTTAGTATATCTGTGGCCAAACTACTCTTAGTTATGAAAGTACACATAGTTTTTCATATGAAGATTAATCAAGATTTTATTTTTAGTCATTCAATCTTTGAGATATTTCCACATTTTGCAAAACTTTATATTCTGTTTTTCAGTTGGTTAATTCATGATTTGTATACATATAAACAGAAAATGAAACATAGTAGTACTGCTTTTGTATTTTCTATATTTTCAAACTTTTCAAAGCAATGTGGCATGTGTACTATAGAATCAGGGTAGAAAAAGTTTTCTTTTAAAAATTCCAAAATCGAAATTAATTTCAGTGAATTTTCATCTTTCTCTAAGATAAAATGGAAATATCTGTGTTGATTGTTGTAGAGTCTTAGATTAATATTTTCTCATTCTAAAACTGAAAGATTATTTAGCATAGTGTTATAAACTGAAGGGTGTCTCCCTGCAACTCCCAACATTCATATGTTAAAGCCCTAATCCCCAGTGTGATTGTATTGGGAAATAGGGCTTTTAAAGAGGTGACTAAGCTAAATGAGGTCATAAAGGTGGGGCAATAATCCAATAGGACTGTTGTCCTTATAAAAAAAGGAAGAGACACCAGAAATACCCTCTTCCCTCCACCTGCACTAGCAGAGGAAAGGCTATTTGCAAGCCAGCAAGAGAGGATTTACCAGAAACCACATTTTCCAGTCTCTTGATCTTAGACTTCCAGCTTCCAGAGCTGTGAGAAAATAGATTTTTTGCTGTGTAAGCCACCCAGTCTGTGGTATTCTGTTATGGCAACCCTGGCCAAATAATAGAGTAAGTCACATATTTAATCAGTTATTTTAAATATTTGATTCATTATACAAAATGGCAGTACTTTCTGGATGGATAAATATTCAGTATTAAGTCTTTTAGATTTTTGTCAAAATATGCCCAAATTGCATACATAGGTATGTGTTCTTCCCATTTCACAAGTAATAGCCCTCCTAAAAATGACTTCCTGATGTGCCAGAAGTTAAAAAGTACTGTATTTCCTTTTTAAATTTTAATAGTTATAGTACATGAGAAATATTAATATATGGGAGATTTTTTCCTTTACTACAGTTAAAATAATGTGATTTTTAAATATACTTATGCAGGAACAACTAATAACTAATAATTAAAAGAAATCACATGCAACTCTTGAAACAGTTTCTTAATTGTAACTCATTAAACTAAATTGCAGCATATTATCTCCATTATAATACCCAAAATAGAATTCGTAATGGTCTTTCTGTCATTCTTCCATGCATTTTATATCTGATGTTAAAAAAACTTTTAGAATGTGGTAGTCTTTATGTTATAAATTATACAATATAAATTGTTTTTAAACCTCAGAAATGACTGGAAGAAAAATAGTTAAATTTTCAGTCACTACTGATAGCTCACCCAGGTTATAAAAGCCAAACTAGATGAATATAGTTTCATTTGCACAGGCTATTTTAAATAAACTTTCTTGTTTATAACAATTCATGATTTGCATTTTAATATGCTATATTAAAAAAAGTGATTCTATTAAAAAATTACAAAATAAAAAGCCATACGAAAATGAGTACATATCTCTTATCATAAGTAAACTTTTAGGTATTTAAATGGAATTCATGAATATAGTATAATTCTATTTTTTGAGTTGATGATACTACTCCAAGTCTGGTAAGCATATATTGATCTTACTATTTATCCTAAATACCAATTATGCAATTGTACAATGACTATGTTAATTATAGATGAACAGTTACATGTAGAAGCTGTTATCTCTTACTCAGTTTATTTGTGTTATGACCATGGAAAGCCAATGTTGACTACTGAGAAAGTAATCAAGCAATAGAAAAATGAGGCTCCATCAACAAAGATGCAAATTTTGAATAATTTTTTAAATGTCTCACATAGTTTAATAAGTAAAGAACGAAGGCATCTGATGTATGTAAACGCAGGCTTTGTCCACACTGTCTCTCTGCTACCAAGTACTCTCAGAGTAAGGATCAAAACTTTGAGTTCATTTGTGGTTGAGTGTTTTTTAAAGATGTTTTATTGTAAATCTTAGTGTAAGATAACTGAAATCATCTTTAATGTGCATATTAATATTTTTGAAAAATCCATCTGCAAGTTATGTCATGATGTAACCATTTCATAATGTGTTTTTCCCTTTCAATTTTGTCTTACAGTTCCCCATGGAAATGAGATTGATTTGATTTGAGCTTTTTTACTTACAGCCCTTTCTACCTCCACATATATCTAAGCAATGCTAATGTTTATGACGGAGGATTGATTATAGAAACATATTTCTTTGTCTTCAACCTGTCCTTTATCAACTTTGTGTTCTGGTTTTTTGGTGTATATATTTGTGTCTCTGTGTGCTCCTAAAAGCCACTTTGATAACTTTCTCTTTATAAACAAACCTATGAAAATAAACTAAAAAATTCCTTTCTATCCCTATATGCCACTTAAAAAAAAAAAAACTTTCCTCTGTTTACCTACAGCTAGTAAGTTACTTTTTCCTACTCCTTTCCTCAGGTCCCTTTTCCTTTTCTTTCAATTACACTGCCTTCCATCCCATCACACACGAGTCTAGCATAGATAAACTAATCAGTGGAAAATCCTGTCTTTCATCTTGTCAGATTTCTCTACGGCATTTGATAATGGTCAATCTTTTTCTCTTTGTTGAAACACAAAACTTGTTACAGTTACATGATTCCACTCCCTTACCATTCTCTCCTAGTTTACTTTGTAGCTCTTAGTGTCCTTTTATTTTTTATTACTTCTGTTTTGCTTTGAGTAATATTATTCTTTAGAAATCTAGCCTTAGCTTCTCCAACCCTTAGTCTTAGCTCCTATTATTTTCTGTCTACTCCTGTTACCCTTGACCTAACCATTGTCATCACTCAACACTCAACTGGATTGCTCAAATATTCGACTACTCATTCATCTTCCAGATTCCACATCAATTCTTTCTTCAATTCCTATACACAGTAGCAGGGACAACTTTCTTAAAACTATAAATCAGATTTGGACAAAATCTTCTTGAAAGAGTCATAAAGATTCTCACTGTACACAGTTCTACTTGTTTCACTCCCATTTAGATGCTTTATCTGAGATCCACTCCCCAATGGAGTCCTGAATGCTAATCTCTTGTTTCCTGGGAACCCGAACTAAAACAACTGTTCCGAATCTGCATATCACAAAACAATTATACCTGTCTTACTATACAGTTCTTTATTTTCTTGAATTAGCAAGAATATTTTAATTTGCCCTTGATTGTCCTGGAAGGTGCTTCTCTTCATGTTTGTCATTTTGGTCTCAGCTTGAATGCTACCTCCACAGAGAGAGCAGCCTGAAGTAAATTCTTCCTATCATTGTGTTTCTTCCATATTCCACCATATTGAAAACTTCCCTCTTTTTCTTAATGCATATCTTTATGTCTGAATTTACTTTGTTTGCTTCTTTATGTATTGTTCATTTCCCCTCCAGATAGAATATAAGCTACCAGAGGGAAGGTAGCTAATCTATCTCATTTATCTATCCATCTTATTTATCAATGAATTTAGCACATATAGTAGGCACTCAATAACTATTTATTAAGGAATAAATGAATAGGTATGAAAACCCAAAAATCACTCTAAATTGACAAATTCACATTCTCAAGCATCTGAAAGCTCCAAATAACTGTAAAATTGATGATGTACAAATCTTAGCTAGTGTTTTAATTTTCTGAGTTACTGAGTTTTCCATCTCAAGTGACTTCATTATTTGATATGCCATACTAAATTTAGGGTTATTTTAGCTCAAAGTAGTGTATTACTCATTTTTATTCTTTATTTCTGTCTCATCATCTTATTATTAATTGGTCACTAAATGTAAAATTGGTCACTTCATTATCATTAGATTCTACTCACTTTATTTATATGAATTGACAAAGTATTAAATCAGGCTTCATCATCTCTTTCCTGAACTACTGTGATAGATATATAACAAATTTTACTCCTCGCTAAATTTTTCCTAATTATGCTAATTATTTTCACCTTACACTATCTAGGCAGTTTATTATTAACAATACTATAAAATCTATTTAAATAACTGAGTGTCTCATGCATAGTGTATACTGTTTAGGTATCTGTATATATTTTCTCTTGTTTCCTTCATTCCCATACTGAGATACTATTCCATACTTCCAACAAGTAGCAGGGTTTTATCCCCGCATATGTACCTACTGTTTATTTTGCTTGAAATGTCTTTCCTCTTCTTCATCTGGAAAATTGCTCAGATCTCACTAAAATATTACTTATTTTGGAAACACTTCCTGATTTCTCTACATATAGACTTTTTTCTGTGATATAGTAGAATTTTGTACATGCTTGTATTTCAGTAAACTTCAATTTCTTTGTACTTATTACTTGCTAAATCTACCTTCTTCAGAAACTTATAGTTGTTAAGGGAAGGAGTATGTCTTATTACTCTTTGTCTTACTAGTTCCCAGTACAGTGTTTGGCACTTATATTGCACTCATAAAGCACTAAAGGAATAAATGAACGCATGATGAATGGGAAGTGTGGCAGGGTCAAAGGAAAGAAAGTGATATAAGAACTTAATACCATACATTTTATTTCTAAGAGCTTGTAAAAATAATGCTGGGGAAATACAGAAAATGTTTCACGATCAAATAAAAAATAATGTAGTTACTTGGGCTGGAGAGTGGGTCAAAAGATTAGTAGTGTCTGATTTAAAACCAACAAGTAAGTACCAAGTTATATATAAATAGAATTTAAACTTTTATTTTAAAACAGCATTACAATCAACATTCCCAGAAAATTTCCACAATGAAGAAGCTGGATATTTCAAATTAATAAAAATAAAATTATCTAATGGAATGATAATTTTTAAGAATATACACTGTGATACTAAATATCATTTGTATATAACTGTTTATTTCTGAGAAGCCATATGATAGTCACTTTATGATCTTTGTTTCACATAGTACCAGAATAGTTGATAATATCTCAAAAGATATTTTCAATGTTGATTAACTGATATCTCAAAAGATATTTTAATATCAATATTGATTACATTCAAATTTTGACCTTATGGATAAGTGAGGAAGGAACTGTTACCATGATATCTCTTTAATACTGCAATGCTTCTACATCACTATATTTTATCTCACAGTTATTGAGGTGAAAACATATTTTAAATACTTTAAATAATTGAGAAAACAAAACATACATAAAATAATATTGTTTAATATTTATATACTTTATTGGTAAAAAAGAATGAAATAAGAATTAATTCACTGTTTAAATATTTTTAAGATCAGAAATAAAATTAAAATTAAGCTATGTATGTGTATGTGTTTTTAAAAGGATGAATTAATGTCTAAACAATGTTCAAAATCATAAAATGGAATTCTTAGTTTAAGTGGTATCAGATGTGTACGTAGAGTGTGAGAGTTAGCTATTAATGGTATTAAATATACCATTAATAAGCTTTTTAACCATTTCAGTTGTGTGACTTTAAGAAAGTTACATCACTTCTTTCAGCTTCAGTTTCCCCTTGGGAAAAATAGGGAGAGTAGTAGTGGGTATGTCAGATGGCTATAAAAATAAAAGAGGTTATAATGCATGCATGATGCTTAGCCTGGTGTCTAATTCATGATTATAATAGTTGTTAAAATTATTATTATTACTGGATAGTGTATAGAAGAAATGCACCTTTAAACAAACAGTCCTACTTGATTGAAATTTGGTTGTTTATATTAAGTAGTAAAACATGGGTATTTTAACCAAGTAAATCCACCTGTAGCAATTATTTTAATTATAGTCACTATGAATAAATACAATTCTTGAACTCACCAGTTTACATACAAATCTATGTGAAACAAAGATCATAAAGTGACTATCATATGGCTTCTCAGAAATAAACAGTTATATACGAATGATATTTAGTATCACAGTGTATATTCTTAAAAATTATCATTCCATTAGATAATTTTATTTTTATTAATTTGAAATATCCAGCTTCTTCATTGTGGAAATTTTCTGGGAATGTTGATTGTAATGCTGTTTTAAAATAAAAGTTTAAATTCTATTTATATATAACTTGGTACTTACTTGTTGGTTTTAAATCAGACACTACTAATCTTTTGACCCACTCTCCAGCCCAAGTAACTACATTATTTTTTATTTGATCGTAAAACATTTTCTGTATTTCCCCAGCATTATTTTTACATTATTTTACTTATTCATGTCTAAATAAAATAGTAATTGTAGATAAACAGCTTCAACAATCTTAGATGTCCTGAAATTTTACTTTTTTGCCATCACACTAAATAGTGCTAGAGTAGAATATATAAACCATCTTTTCAGGCCAAAATTTAATGATGGAGTATGTACTATCCATTGTAAATAAAACAAATTTTTGATGAATGAAAAACAAATGACTTCTCAGAAAGCTCTGCTGTGCAACATCTGAAATAAAAAGATTAATCATTCGTCATTTTAAGTTATAATGATGCAGATGTACCCTTTTACTGTGCCTCAAAGGAAATGCTGCTGACATAAAATGCAGATGATCTAGAATTATATTCTCTATTTTTTTGAAATATAACTGCTACAAAGATCTAGGTTGCAAGAAGAACAATTTGTAGAGGACAATGTCTTTGGAAAGTAACAGTAACATAGAGAAGACATAGCATGGCATATCTGTAAAAATGGACTGAAAACATGAAGAAGTTAAAAAATTAGAAGGGGAAAAATTAGAAAATCAGAAACGTGAATAAACGTGTTAAAACTGTATACTATTAAATTATATTTCTGATATCTAAAAATGAATTAAAACATTCAAGAAGTTATTTTTATTTCATTGCATATAAGCTATATTTCATTGTTTTTAAGACATATTTGTAAAATTAGCATTTGTTTCTACCCTAAATTCCCAAAAGACTTAAACTTGCTGTGTTAGAGCCCATGGGAGAAGGGAGGCTAACCTGAAGGAGAGGAGAATGATGGAATATTCTGTTGTTTCTAACAGAGTTCGATGCCACCTACCTGAATTGAAAATATGATCAACCATATCTAGGGATTGTTGACTTCTCTACCCATCCTCCATCCAGGATAGATAATTGAAAACAAAATAAGTAATTCAACTACAAAAAGCAAATTAAGATATCAGTTTCTAGCTTTCACCTAATAATTGAGATGATTGGGTTCATAGAAATGTCCCTACTAAATAGATGTAATTGTTTTAATTTTAAGCTGAATGATTTTTCATAAATCACAAATGTAAGAGGAAAAAAATTCAATGCAATAAAATATAATAGGCTATAAATTTCCATATACATTTATGAATTTTAGATGAAGAGTGATTCTTTTTTATTATCAGTCATTGAATCTTGTTTAAATCTATTATTTGAGGCCAAGTTATAAAATTCAAAGAACTTCTCATTGCAAATTCTTTCTCTTGATTGTTGGTATTGATTTAAATCTTTCAGAGAGAGGCCACTTATTATATTCAGCATTCCATCCATTATTGCCTCTGCCAGCTTTTAAAACTTATCATCAATATATTGCAGGATATAGTGAATTGCAAATAGCTAAAGTGTAATAAAGCATGCATTTTCCGATGTAAACATATTTAAATAGTATGCATGTAAAGCATCTCTTTTAAAGTTAGGTTCCTGTTACAAAACGTAGCAATTACTATATGGAAAGCCAATAAAAGAAAAAGAGTATCAGTACAAATAGTACATAATAGTTATCTACAGCAGATAATTCCCACCCCCATTTTTTTGTATACTGCAGGAGATTTTTACTCTTTACCTACAGTATACATTACAGAAAGGTTTGTACCTGACTAGAAATCATATATTTTGATGCCTGGTCCGGTAATCTGAAACTAGAAATATTTTCTATATAAAATACATTTTTACCTGCAAGTGATGGTGATGATGATGATGACAAAGATAATGATTATTGCAAGCCACAGAAGATGAGACTAACTTTCAAAAACAATACTATAACAGGCTGGGCACAGTGTAATTCCAGCACTTTGGGAGGCCAAGTTGGGTGGATCACTTAAGATCAGGAGTTCATGACCAGCCTGGCCAACATGGTGAAACTCTGTCTCTACTAAAAATACAAAAATTGCCCAGGCATGGTGGCAGGCACCTGTAATCCCAGCTACTCGAGTGGCTGAGACAGGAGAATTGTTTGATCCTGGGAGGCAGAGGTTCCAGTGAGCCAAGATCGTGGCACTACACTCCAGTCTGGGTGACAGAGTGAGACTGCTTCACAAAAACAAAAACAAAAACAAAAAAACAAACGAAAAAAACTTACAACATACTACACAATAACAACAACATTCATTGAGCATAATAGATGACTAAACTAAGCTGAAAACTAATATGGAAATTGAAGCACAACTAAATTTGGCTAAGAGAAGTATAAATATACATCTTTATATTTATTAGAATATAATTTTACTGTTCCAGTAATTGAGAGGTACACAAATGTCATAGATTTGAATGTTTTAAAATTTTTATGTGATGATTATGAAATGTAGTAAATTACCAATTTTTATTCAGGTATATGAAGACTTGGTAGCTAGCCACTGATAGAAAAGACATTGATTACACTTATAATACACTGCCTAGTTGAAAAATGAATATTTAGTCATTTTGTTTATAAAGTGCCAAACATTACATTTAACTTTCATTGATTTGTCTAAATAATCTAATTCTTTCATCTATGTACAGATGAAAATCGGTTTTTTAAAAGTTCATTTATACAAATACAATTTCATCCCAAAAGAAAGGGATACTTCATAAAATAGCTTCAATAGAAGTAATTTGTATCCTCAGGTCATGATTGTGGCTGCCTGGGTTGTGCTAGATTGAATGACTTGACTTTCACTTTTTAACTATTCCTATAATTTGATTATCATTAAATGAACCAGAAAATAAATTTGCTTCTACAATAAAACCCACAGGCTTTTATGTCAGTCTTTTAACAAGATTTATTCTTTAATAGAAAGATATGCAATAAGGAAAAAATATCTAGCAAAAGGCAAAATAAAAATTCTCATTACATAGCTTTAGGGCTTAGACTTAAAACTGGAAAAAAATGCATTTAGGTCTAATACTTAAAACGTTTAAAATGTTTTATAGAAATATAATGGTTTACTCCTGACAAAATTCTGGAAAAGACTTCAGAAAAACTTATGAATCCTCATGGTGACAACATAATCAGTGGTATCAGCCGTACCTCCCCTTGAGTTAAATGTCTTCAGTTCACTAGAGGGACATGGGAGAGTGAGTGATAATTTCTCTCTGGCAATAGTCAGCACAACCACTACACCTGTCGCAACTCCTGTAATGCAAGCATTGCTAGATTCTCTCTTTGCTCAACACCGGTTTCTTGTCTTAAGTTACACTTGCTTTTACCTTCTGCTGCTCTTGCCTACTCTTCTGTGTTCCTTTTGTAATTTTTTGCTTCTACTTCTCTAAGTCATTGTCTCTTGAACAACCACATAATAAATTTGCAGCATACATACTGGGCATTTGTGGGAAATGAAGAAAAGCTTCCCCTCTGTTGTGACCACTCTGCAGAAACAAAATGAACCTCTACCCAAAATTTGGTTTGCATATTGAGACTTATGACACCATATATGCCCCACTAGAATGAGAACATATTCATTAAAACTCACACAGTGAGACTTCCGGGAAGAGCATGGTATCTCTTAGGCACAACTAAAAACAGATTGAGAGAGCCCGGGAACGAGAATGATGTGGGGGTTTTATGATGGCTAGGGTGTGGGGTTGAAGTGAAGGTTCTTTGTTAGCAGGGCCTTGTGTGGCTTGATCTTTCCAGGTGCCAAGGGAGGACCACTTGTGATGTATCCGCTTGCCCAGATGTGAGGCCAGAGGGCAAACGGGACAGGCAGGGTTGAAAGCTATCACCAGCACATAAAAAATGGAGACTCTTTCTTATACCCTGTGAATAAGTAACCGAAAATAAATGCCCCTCCAAGTAGACCAATCATAAGCAGATGTGCCTTTCTCCAGGACCATGCAGCCTCCCAGGATGTGGCTTGACTAGTAGCACTGGTTACATTTCATTCTCTAATCCCCACACCTTGGTCAGTGACTTTGGGGAGGACACAGCACAACCACAAAACTTATGCATACATAGAATGCTGAAAAAAACATGGCTTTCAAGGAGTGGAAAGATGAAGTCCTCATGGACTGATTAATGAGATTTGGGAGAATTCTATGAGAATCAGTAGCAATATATTGAACAAATTATATTGTTACCCAGGCAATAAATGAATCTCCATTTTATTGCATATTAATGACAAGGAATTCAGAGGTGGTTGTAAGGAGAGTGCTGGGATATAGGTTCAAAAACAGCTGCACAAATGTCGTGAGTATTAATGAAATTGTTCTAGATGTGGGCATTTTTTTTCACCAACCTGTGGAATGTCTCAGGTTGACCCCATTATAATAAGTAGAATTTTATAAGAAGTTGTCCTGAATGGGCCAAAGATTCCATCTCTTTTAGATGCCAGTTACAGAGACGCATACTTATATGAAGCATTAAAGGAAAGAAATGTGTGACTACCATAAGCAGAAACCAGGTAAATCACTAGAACTTTAGCTAGGTTGCTTTGCAGATGAGGTGTCAGAAACAGCAATGTTTATAAAGAATGAAGCAATATTTGAAAGATCTAATAGGTCAGCCCCCTTACAGTTCATCACATACTGTTAAAACCCTCCAAAACTGATAGCTAGAAATCTGAGTTGTTTGCAGTGTGTGCTAACTATTAAAAAGAATTTTGCCTCTTCCCTGGGAAAGAATTTATAGATGAGTACTCAAAAGCTATTGCAGGCCAGGCATGGTAGCTCATGCCTGTAATCTTAACACATTGGGAGGCCAAGATTGGAGGATCAGTTGAACCAAGGAATTTGAGCCTGGGAAATATAGTGAGACCACATGACTACAAAATATTTTAAAGAAAAATTAGCCAGTTGTAGTGACATGTGCCTGTAGTCTCAGCTACCTGGGAGGCTGAGGTGGGAGGATTTCCTGAGCCTGGGAGGTTGCACTCCATCCAGGGCAACAGAGTGAGACCCTGTCTCAAAACAACAATAACAAAAATAAAATAAATAAATAAATAAAAGCAGTTGTAAAAAAACAACAATTGACAAGTGAGACTTAAACTAAAAAGCTTCTGCACAGCAAAATAAATTATCAAGAGAGTAAATAAACGATGTACAGATGGCAGAAAGTTTTTGCAAACTATGCATCTAACAAAGGTTTAATATCCATAATCTATAGAGTCTTAAACAATTCAACAAGCAAAAAACAAATAACATCATTTAAAGTGGGTAAAAGATATAAATAGACACTTCCAAAAAGAAGACATATAAGTGGCTAACAAACATATGGAAAAATGCTCAGCATCACTCATCATCAGAGAAATGTAAATCAAAATCACAATGACATACCATTTCACACTAGTGAGAATGGCTATTATTGCAAAGTCCAAAAACAACAGAGAATGGTGAGGCTGCAGATAAAAGGAAATGCTTACACTCTATTGGTGGAAGTATAAATTGGTTCAGCCACTTTAAGTTATTCAAGAAATCTCCAGTTTAATTCAAGATGGATTAAAGACTTAAATGTTAGACCTAAAACCATAAAAACCCTAGAAGAAAACCTAGGCATTACCATTCAGGACATAGGCATGGGCAAGGACTTCATGTCTAAAACACCAAAAGCAATGCCAACAAAAGGCAAAATTGACAAATGGGATCTAAATAACTAAAGAGCTTTTGCACAGCAAAAGAAACTACCATCAGATTGAACAGGCAACCTACAAAATGGGAGAAAATTTTTGCAACCTACTCATCTGACAAAGGGCTAATATCCAGAATCTACAATGAACTCAAACAAATTTACAAGACAAAAACAAACAACCCCATCAAAAAGTGGGCGAAGGACATGAACAGACACTTCTCAAAAGAAGACATTTACGCAGCCAAAAGACACATGAAAAAATGCTCACCATCACTGGCTATCAGAGAAATGCAAATCAAAACCACAATGAGATACCATCTCACACCAGTTAGAATGGCAATCATTAAAAAGTTAGGAAACAACAGGTGCTAGAGAGGATGTGGAGAAATAGGAACACTTTGACACTGTTGGTGGGACTGTAAACTAGTTCAACCATTGCGGAAGTCAGTGTGGCAATTCCTCAGGGATCTAGAACTAGAAATACCATTTGACCCAGCAATCCCATTACTGGGTATATACCCAAAGGACTCTAAATCACGCTGCTATAAAGACACATGCACACGTATGTTTATTGTGGCACTATTCCCAATAGCAAAGACTTGGAACCAACCCAAATGTCCAACAATGATAGACTGGATTAAGAAAATGTGGCACACATATACCATGGAATACTATGCAGCCATGAAAAATGATGAGTTCATGTCCTTTGTAGGGACATGGATGAAATTGGAAACCATCATTCTCAGTAAACTATCACAAGGACAAAAAACCAAACACCACATGTTCACACTCATAGGTGGGAATTGAACAATGAGAATACATGGACACAGGAAGGGGAACATCACACTTTGGGGACTGTTGTGGGGCAGGGGGAGGGGGGAGGGGGGAGGGATAGCATTAGGAGATATACCTAATGCTAAATGATGAGTTAATGGGTGCAGCACACCAGCATGGCACATGTATACATATGTAACTAACCTGCACATTGTGCACATGTACCCTAAAACTTAAAGTATAATAATAATAAAAAAAAACTAAAAAAGAGAAAATTATATATAAAGAAAAAAAAAAAAAGAAATCTCCAAACTGTGGAAATCACTTTGGAGATTTGACCCAGCAATCCCAATACTGGGTATATTTCTAAAAGAAAATAGTTCATTCTGCCAAAAGACACATGCACTTGTATGTTTATCCCAGCACCATTCATAATAGTAAAAATATGGAATCATCCTAGGTACCCATCAATGATATACTGGATAAAGAAATGTGGTACATATACACCAAGAAGTAGTAAGCGGTAGTAAGAAAACAAAAACTTGTCCTTTGCAAGAGTATACATGCAGCTGGAGGCCATCCATTATCCTCAGTGAATTAACAGAGGAACAGAAAACCAAATAGTATTTGTTTTCACTTATAAGTGGGAGCTAAATATTGGGTACTCATGAACATAAAGGCGACAAAAATATATACTGGGGATTACTAGGGTGGGGAGGAAAAGAGGGAGGAAAAGTGTGGAAAAACTAACTGTTGAGAGCTATGCTCAATATCTGGGTGACAGGATCATTCATATCCCAAACCTCTGCATCATACAATATACCCATGTAACAAACTTGACATGTATCCTCTGAATCCAAAATAAAAAAATTGAAATTATAAAAAAAATTGCCTTTTGCAGGAAGATGTCATTGTTACAGATAACCTTAAGGAAAAAACATAGATAAAGCATTGACTAGTATTGGGGCTCTTTTGCCCTGAATTTGATTTAAAATGCTAATAAAGATGATAATCTGGAAAACAGTTTCAACAAAAGATATCTAGATTAATCTAGATAAATCATTACACACTTAAAAACTCCCCTTACTTTTATGTTATAGCCAGATGAGAATTAGAGATCTTATATTGGCAAAGAGCAGCAGATGCACCAGAATAAGGTGAGCTCTTTCAAAAAATATACCATTGTGCAAGTAAAGAGTGAGAAAGCAAAGTACTCAAAACCCAAGGTCCCAGCTAGAATACAAGACAACTAAAGCTGCTGATTCTAGAACTTCCTAAAACATTCATTGGGTCAACCATGATAACCTCACTTCTGGATATATAGAGCATCGCTGGAGTTGGAGAGAGGGGAGGGATGCTGAACATATAGGAAGATTATTGGTTGAGTTACTACTTCATTAATTATGACCAAAAGTAAATTGCTTGAGTCCATAAAGTCTCTCTCTCTCCATGCTCTTTGATCCCACCTTCTCTCGTCCCCCAGTCTCAGAAATTTCAAGGAGAAAGATGTTTAGAGATGGGCCTGAAGTTTCTCTGTCTCTTAAATAACTGAAGCTTATATAGTACTTTTTGAATATTCTGAAAAATGTTGAGAAGAGAATTAACTCAATCTTTTATAGTTTTATCAGGAGCAGGTGCCCAAATTATCTTGTGCCTGGTCACATCAGGGCAGCAGACTCCTGAATTCAACTTGTTGGTTTTGAGTGGGCATTGCAGTTGAAAAAGAAAGAGATGTCAGACGGTATGTGGGGTTCATTGGGCTAATCCAATACAACATTGATGGCACAGTAGCCATCTGGAGTGGCCACTGCACAGATGCCAGCTGCAGCAGCAGGGGAAGCATGGCCAGGGCTGTATGCTCTATGGATCTGGCAGGGGTCAGGAACAGGTGATCCCAGTGGAAGCCCTGCCTCTTACTGAGTTGGTGGGACGAGAGCCTGTGCTCCCATGCACAGATGCTGCCATCCAGTCGTGCCTCAGAACCCAGAAATCCCTGTGCTCTCAGGGATGCAGGAAGCCCCCCGAACCCGCAGGCTTGGAAGGGCCTGCTCCTGCTCCCTGGCCTCTCCCCATTCCCCGTAAGTGCTCCAGTACAGAACAAAGTTGTGGCTGAGCCTGGATGCTGTTGTGACCCTGCCAGGTGTGTAAACACTTGGGGCGGTGCTGACATGCCAGCCCCCTGCCTCCTCAGCCCCCTCTGGACTTTGGGCAACAACAAGCACTGAAGGAAGACCAAGGGGCTAAAGATGACTCAGAGTGGGCCTGCATTTTCCCCGTAGTACAGACATCCTGGGTGCCATGGAGGGCATGTTAATAGTGGCAGGAAGCAGACAGGTACTTAGGCAGGAAGGGGTGGGTCCCTAGTGAGACCCCACCTTCAAGCCAGGGATGGCCTGAGCCTGGAACTGGCAGGTGGAGTCCATGACCCAGAGTAAGTACTTCATTGATGACTTTTGGCCAACTGAATGGTGCTTCTTTCAGGCACAATTGTGGCCACCTATAGACCAATCAGCACTCACTTCCTTCCTTCAGTGCACATAAAAACCCCAGGCTAAGCCAGGCTCAGATACTCATCAGGACTTCCTGCCTGCAAATAAGAGCTACCCACTTTGGGTCTCCTCTACACTCATCAGGACTACCTGCCTGTGGATAGGAGCTACCCTCTTTCAGTGTTCTCTACACTTGTCAAGATGAGCTGCCTGCAGAAAGGAGCTACCCACTTGGGTCTCCTGAGAGCTGTTCTGTCACTCAATAAAGCTACTCTGACTTGCTCACCCTCCAGTTGTCCACCTAACCTCATTCTTCCTGGGTGCAGAACAAGAACTCAGGACCCAACAAATAAAGGGAGCAAATGGAACTGTAACATCTTCTTGGTTGGCTTGCTGAGCTGTGGGCAGTGACATGCTCTCAAACTGCAAGAGTCAAGTGGCAACCTTTTTGGAGACCCAGACCTCAAGATTCCCTGAGCCAGAGCTGCTGTAACACTATAGCCCTCCCACTCTCCATCTGTGCTGGGTGGCCACCCCAAACAATGGGAAGCAGTACTGGGGCCAGGCCAGCCAAGGAGCTGTGGGCCAGAGTGGGTGGAAGGCCTGAAAGGGCTATAACACAAACAGACTGACATGCAGCCTGCTGTTCACAATGCTGAGGGTGATGAGAAGGAGAGAAGAGCTGTGGCCCTTCTGGGAGTCCAGACCTCAGTGCTTCCCAGGGCTGTGACATGCTGTTACACCCTCTTTGGGTCTCTGCAGTTTCTGGTGCCTCTGAGCTTTCAGGAGCCACTGTGTTACCCATTGCTCACAGTGGAAATCACTTGTGGTATGCCCGGTCTAGCCACAGCCTTGCATGGAGTCAGTGATTGTGCCAGTGTGTGGAGCTGCCCACCCAATCCCATCAGCTAGTATGCCTGGCCGTGTGCAGTGGCCAGACCCCAAACCCGACAGTGAGTGGCCAACTTGGGAACCTGAAGTGGGTAGCCATCTTTATGGCTGAGTTTAGAGGTTTTATGGGTTTAGAATTGGGGAATGCATGCTGTTTGGTCCCTGGGTGGTCTGTAAAAAAGCACCATTTGATTGGTTAAAAGGCATCATCCAGAAGGAACTAATCAAGAGAGGGTGCATGAGATGGGGATAGAAATTCTCACTCTGGTTGTGGACTCTATCCAGAACTGGCTGTTAGGTTTTCAGGCTTCAGGTTGCCTTTGGCTTGGTTCACACCTCCCTCACTGCTCTGTGCCTGGCTCACCCTTGGCAGGCATGGGATACAGGCCGGTAGCACAAGCCAAGTGCTCTGTGCCTGGCTCACCCTTGGCAGGCATGAGATCCGGGCCAGTAGCACTAGCCAAGCCCTAGTGGGCAGAACAAGTGCGGCAGGAATGAGCAAAATCCAAGCAGAGGTGCCACAAGCCACAGAGGTTTCTGGCTGGAGAAGTGAAACCCTAAGGATCCTGTGACAGCATTGTGGCTTCCACTGAAGAATGAATAATTAACATTGATGTTTTACCTGCTTCTGCAGTAAATGCTTATAAAGGCTAGAGGAAATTCTCCTCATCAGGAAAAGCTATAACTATAGAAGTGCTAATAGTGTGTGTAAAACGTTTCTGAACTTTTCTTTCTGTCCCTTCTTGGGAGATTAAATGGCAAATACAAAAAAAAGAACTCAAAGCCATCATTAAGACCTTAAAGTTAAAAGGGGTAGTACAAAAATAGGAAATCAATACAGCCATTGTATATGGACAGTGAGATAGCTAAAAGTAGCTGAATATTGTTCCAGATATTGTAATTGTTACTCCATTGCATAGAATGATGATATTGTAGTGATATTTTTGTTCCTCTAGTTCAGTGAGCAGCAGAGAGTGGCCTCCAGCAGCTTTTCCACTCCCATAGTTCAGAAAGCAGGAGAGAGTGTTACAAACATATTTACTCTCACCATCCACAGCTCAGCAACAGCACCCAGTGGCTTCTTTCACTCCCATAGTTTGGTGAGTGGGAGAGAGTGTTACAGCTCTTTTTGCTCCCCCCATTCAGCAGTTTATGGGCTCTTGTCTAGCAACCAAGAAGAATGAGGTATGCAGACACCAGAAATGAGCAAGAGAGAATAGAATTTTATTGAGCTACAGAAAGGCTCTCGACAGTGAGTGGGAACCTGAAGTGGGTAGCTGTCTTTGTGGCTGAGTATGGGGTATTTATGGGCTTTGAATTGGGGAATGCATGCTGATTGGTCTATGGATGGTCTTGGAAGAAGCATCATTTGATTGCATTTGATTGGTTGAAAGACATCATCCAGAAGGAACCAATCGAGAGAGAGTGCCTGAGATTGGGGATGGAAGTTCTCACTCTGATTGTGAACTCTATCCAGAACTGGCTGTCAGGTTTTCAGGCTTCAGGCTGTCTTTGGCTTGAATGTTGGATTTCACTGGGGACCCATCTCTGTCT